>NC_000009.12:104129642-104281158 GCF_000001405.40 Homo sapiens | reverse complement strand
AAATTCTCATTAGTTAAAAGATGCAAAATGGAAAGCTATAAGTATTAATAATTCATTCATTTTTATATTAACTCCTGACAATGACTTTAAAGTATCTTCAGACATCTCATTTCTCTTTACCTGCTTTTTATTAGACAGATAAAATATACCTCAAGGAGTATCACTCCAAAGAGCACTAGGGAGTCAAGGACAGAGATAAAAACTGGCCCTGGACCTCCAAGGTTTCAGCTGACTCACATGCCATAGAAGATATTGTGTGAACTGAGCCATGTGTATTGAAAATCAGTCACCTGCCTACTCCCAGCTGGCTGAGATGAACCCATTGGCATCAAAAGGACAATTCAGGGTGAACTTGGGAAAGAGGAATTGGTTTTTATTGTTATAAATTAATAGAAGTGACCCTTTGGCACCTCATCCTGTACGATTATGTTAGTATTCTGGATTTTGAATGAAAAAGTGCTCTCAGTAGCAGAGAGGACTAGGTGTTTAAAGGTTGTAAGTATTTCTGAGTTAGATTTGAAAAACTCGGTCAACCAGAATAAGCTATAAAAACGCAAAGCATGGGCAGTTAGAACTACAGTTTTACTCTCAGCTCTGTTGCTTGTTATGATATAATCTCTTTGAAACGCATTTTCCTTGTTGAAAAGATAAGCGTAATTGAACCAACCTTACTCACTTTTTGTAATAGTAAAATGACATAGTGTTTGTGAATGTGTTCACCAGAGGATGTGAAAGATAGATAAATACAAATGGCAACAACAGCTAAAAAGTAGGTAGTACCAGGTTGTGGTTTAAGATCATTTACTCAAGTTGGGGCCATGTAGGTTTGAGTTCAAACCACAACATTTACTAGCTTTCCTCACTGATAAAATGTGGATTAAAGTACTGCCTCATAGAATTTATGTGTGTGTGTATATCACGAATAGTAAACTTTCAATATTTGTTATTGTTACTGTGTTATCATTAAATATAAATTCCCATCCATGAAATGCTGTTTCCATATTTAAGGTTATGACATTTTTGATTCATTAGAAAATTTATTTGACTCTTTAATGAGTCTTGACATCTTTGAGATAGACTGGAATTTAGAAAATATCCAGTCAAATTTTTCACATTTTTGGAATCCAGCCAAGTATGAACACTTCTAGGGATGAGAATTCCTTTTCTCTATTGGCCTCTTTCCCACTCTTAAAGGAATCATATGACTAGTCTAATAGGAAAGGCTTTCTTTGATTAAGCAGAATCACCTTCCTGAAACTTTACCCTTAAAAGAAGCCAGATTTGCTCTCCAAATTATTTAGAAATATACACTTTCCTAGAGAACAATCATTTGTGTATTTGAAGACTTTGATATGTCTACTTTGCTTTTCTCTGCCAAGGGAAATTCTCTACGTCTTTGAATGCAGCCTAGCATTATTGGCTCATAAGTATACTTTTGACTACAATAACAGTTTTACTTTCTTTTTTATAAACTGCTGCTAAATTGTGGTGTTCTGAACTACTATAATTGATTTCCTGTTTTTTCTAATTTCAGGGCTTTGCATATATTTCCATGAATTTCTACCGTGAAGGGTTTAGCTAATGGTTGATAGTAGAAAACTCACCTAATTTGATAAGAGGTTACATACCAAAAAAAGGAAATATGGCAATGTTTACAACTAAGTTTACTGGAACACATATATTTCTGTTACATGGGTTGTCTAAGATTTCTTTAGAAAACATGTCTTTATTCTTTTCCAAAAGTTAAGAAAGTAAATAAAATACTGTTTAAATATAAAAAATTTGAATTTTGAGTCCTGTGCTAACTTTAGGTGCTTTGTGACTGCTGTAGACTCAGCTGGTTTTATGCCTGTTTAAAACTTGGCATCAACTTCCCTTCTCAGCGTATCTCTCAGCATTTTCCAGCTACACTAGAAGTGCAGTTCTAGAAAATTTCATTTTTCTTCCTTTTCTTCAAGTCTCTCCTTTTTCTTGATAGCCCTTGCCACTAAATTCATCTGGTAAACTCCTACTCACCCTTTAGGACCATACCCATATATGACTTCCGAAAAGTCTTCAGAAACTTCCCCAAGACAATTATTACTCCCTCTTCATTCTCTAACAGACTTCCATTGTGCCAATTCCCAGTGCCTTGCTTGATTGAAAGTGAATAAAATCCTGATTTAATAAAGGAGGCATACAGGAAATGTACTGACACAATACTTAAGGAGGTTTAAAATAATACAACCACATAAAAGATAGAATGACAGCTCGGGTTCTAGAAGATCCACGTCCTACTTCCAAGACTCTCTTTACCTGACTTGTCTCACTTTACTCTGTTAGCTTTCTCCTGTCTTACCTCAAACTGACTTTCTCATATTGAGAAATACAGCTCTTGATAGTACTAGGTTGATGCAAAAGTAATTTTTGTTGTTACTTTTAATGGCAAAAACTGCAGTTACTTTTGCACCAACTTAATATCTAAACTTTAAATTTCTCACCATGTGCTAACAGGGAAAAAGAATGACCCTTTTGCTCAGGACCAGTTTGAGAAATACCAGGGAAATACTATATTGTGTGGCCAGAGGGGCAAAATACTGATTAGTTTGGCTTAAGTAGCCACCATCATTGAGCCATGGTACTATAGATGGAGAATCAGAGTTATCTAAAAGAAAAAAAAATGGCATCTAATAAAGGCATCTGGATGTCAGGGCATGTGGAGGTGTAGTTTTTAAGAGAGGGTGATCGTAAAAGGTGTGCCAAAAATTCCATAAATGCTCATTTTTACCATTTATTTACATCTGCTTTGCTAACTAGGCTGTGAAATACTTTAAGGCAATGCCTATACCTTAAGACAGTGACCCTGCCTTTATTTTCTAGGGACTAAAAATGCATTAGGTCTAAAACTTAATAGACCTCAGTAGATATTAATATTTTTTAAATAACTGATATGGTCTGGCTCTGTGTCCCCATCCAAATTTTATCTTGAATTGTAATCCAAATTGTAGTTCCCACATGTTGGGGGAGGGACCTTGTGGGAGGTGAATAGATCATGGGGGCAGTGCCCCCATGCTGTTCTCATGATAGTGAGTGAATTCTCATGAGATCTGGTGGTTTTATAAGGGGCATTCCCCACCTTTGCTCTGCACTTTTCTCTCCTGCTGCCATGTGAAGAAGGATGTGTTTGCTTCCCCTTCCACCATGATTGTAATCTTCCTGAGGCCTCCTCAGGCATGCTGAATTGTGAGTCAATTAAACCTCTTTCCTTGATAAATTATCCAGTCTCAGGCAGTTCTTTATAGCAGTGTGAGAACAAACTAATACAATAAGACATGTGTTTAGTAACATATGAATAACTTGTGTTAGGAAACTTATGCTTTTATTGTTAGTATAATCTTCAGGGTGTTTGGAACTTTGAGCAGTCGATCTTTACAGTTAAATCTAGGAACAGAAAATAAGTCAAATATTTTAATAATTGATTTCATAAGAAAAAAAGTAGGGAGAAATATTTACATATATGACCAATATAATGATTTGCATTTGTCTCCAAAGTCAACTTTGAATTTAATAACCAGGCTTTTACTTTCAGTTATAAAGCGATGTGATAAATCTTTTCAGTAATGTTTTTAGATTATATTCATACTCTTTGAATGTATGAATAACTAGCTTGGTGGTTAGTTTAGTAGACTGATTTGACTTTTAAAACAATTTGCACCAATGTTTCTGATAGTATGTCTCTTTTGTATTCTTTCTTGACCCAGTAAATATTCTGAAGATTCCAATGCTGTTTTTCGTGGATTTGCCTCCTGCAGGAGGGTGCACACTCAGACCACTCATTTGTCTTATATCATCCAGATTGCCCAATTCATCACTGACATCCTCTGTGGTGTGTATATCTGAATAATGGCATTTGGTTTTTCTGTGCCTAACTGCTCTGGTTCTTCTAGCTCTAGGAAATGTAGTTTCTTGCTTTATCTCCTGTTTACTTGGGGATCTGTGTTTCTGGAGCTGTAGGCATGTGGGACTGTTACAGCGTCTTCCTGCTTGGGAAGTACCTTCACTTTTAGAAGCACACTTGGGTCTCTTCCCAGCAGTTGAAGAAAGCTTCACGTATTGGACTGTGGTTGAAGATGGCCTCCCACAGTCTGATTCATTGCCATGGGCATGCTTGTCTTTTGAGGGCTCACAGCATATATTCTGGGTGAAGTGTTCACTTCTGTGACTTCCTCTCAGAGAGAGATTACTCAATTCTCTGCTTACAGATCTCTTTCTAGATCCAACACACCAGGATTTGGATCTGTGAGTATTGGACCTTGATCGTCTTTGGATTCTTCTCCTGGAGTGTGACCCAATTTCTACAAATTGGGAGGGTTGTCTACACTTCATCCTCTTTTTTCTGAAAGAACTCAGTTTCCTGCCATCTCTCTTAGGAGAAAAGGCATTTTCTGAAATGCAACTCCAAGAGGGGTCTCTCTCTCTGGATTTGCATCTTTTCAAGGATCTTTCTCTGGACAATCTTTGAAAGGTCTTTGGTGAAGAATCTGAGTATTTGTTATTGTCTTCCTCTTTTTTCTGAAAGTTTATCTTCTGGCCAAGGCTCAAATCCTTTCTTTCTCTTAAACTATATTTCTATGGTTGCACCTGATTAGAAATTGCTGGGGTACTGAAGGTGTGTGCAGTTGTGTCACTCTTTCCCAGATCATGGACATGATCAGGAAACAACTTTATCCCTTCTGTCTTTTTCTCTTGAACTTTTTTTTGCAATTCAGTAGGCCTGGGCACCTTTCCCTTGGAGTAGCCCACTTCTGGAGTATATTATTCATAGAAATGATGCTTTTGTGGTCACCCGATTCTGCTTTGTCTTTGATTCCACCATAGATTTTGCTTACTGTTTTATCACAGACTGGTGGGATTTCAGATTTCTTCAAGGAAGAGTTACCATTTGGAAACTGTTTCAAGCCTAACAGGGGCCTCTCCTCTTTATTCCATTGACCCTGGGTATTTTTAGACTGCTTTGTATTATGTTGAGATATCAGTAGACTGTGATCCTTAGGCAGAGGTGAAACAGGAGCTGATACAAGGGGCTTCTTGTTTACACATGGTGAAGCAGCAGAGCACTGATAGATGGCTCGCTGGTCATAGGTCTCCATGTTGTAAGGTGAATGAACAAAACTAATAAACTCATGTAGGAAATGGTGGGTGTGTTGTAAGAGATAAGGTTCCAGGAGGTGAATGAAGGACTCACTGTCCAAGTCATATTCTGTCATGTGATGGAGGATGGTGATTAGGATGTTCTTCACTGTGTAGCCATAATCTCCATAAACAGCTGTTAGTTCCCCTTCCAGCCAGGGAACCAGCCGGTGTAGGCAACCTGGGTTTCTTTTAAAATAATTAGCTGTAAAGTGCTTTTGAGGTTTGTAGCCTCGAATATGCGTCACCCAAATTCCAGAATAATACAGAGCTCTTCTGAAATTCATAACCACTGGATCTCTAAAGTAGCTCAGAGACATGGAGTTTGGTTGGAACTTCCCATTATCCCCAAACTCCCTCAGTAACTCATGGATAGTCCACTCTCTCAATGGCTTGATTTTCCTTTTCATATCCTCAAGGCTCAAAATTAGATGATTGTTTTGAGAAGACCCCACATAGCTTTCCTCATCTGAGGGAGGAACTGCTGAGTCTTCTTTGTTACCACTCTCTGGCTTGGTGGGACAACACTGAGAAGGAAAGCACTGCATGCTAGAAGAAAGCATGGATTTCTTCCTTGATCTTGAATGTCAAGAGCCATTACCACTCTCGTTGGAACAGGTGTTCCAATCAGACTCATTCGGAGGACCCTCCAAACAATTAGGACACTCACACTCAGATGAGAGATCTAATGACTTTGCTGTTATATTGGATTCTATTTCACAGTTGAATACGAGAAAAATTGGCTCAAATCAATTCCTCACTTGCCATGAAAAATGTCTTTTAAAAGCACTCCATTCATGTTTTCATAATACATTTTATCTCCATGGAATAAATGCTAGAATAAAGTTAAGAAACAAACTATTCCTCAAATTAATAATAATGTGCTCATAAAACCCAATGTAGATAAGGCAATGGGGATACAGGCATAGATTTTCTTTTTCTCTCTTAAATTAGTTGTTTTAAACACTGAAAAGCAAATTAGAAATAAACATCAAAATTTAAGTACTATATTATTTGACTTAGCAATTCTAATTCTATAAATTTAATCTAGCTGTTGGAACCATATATATGTAACATATATATGTTTGTGTGTGTGTGTGTGTGTGTGTGTATGTGTGTATGTTGACTTTGTTTTTGTAATAACAAGAAACTGAAAACAACTTAAATATCCATCAGTAGGGGACTTGTTAAATAAATGATATTTCATTCATAGTATTTAATATTATGCATCCATTCAAAACATGAAGCAAAGTACATGTTAATATAAGAAGATTGCTGAATACATTTTTTCTTTCTTTTTTTTAAATTATACTTTAAGTTTTAGGGTACATGTGCACAATGTGCAGGTTTGTTACATATGTATACATGTGCCATGTTGGTGTGCTGCACCCATTAACTCATCATTTAGCATTAGGTATATCTCCTAATGTTATTACATTTTTAAATGAAAAAGTTTATATAGAAGTATGAAAGACTGTTATAAACTCTTAAACAGTAAGCATTAATTTCTGTTAGTATTGTGAACTCGAAACCTGAAAAACTTTTCTATTAGGAATAACAAAATAATGCTAGCTATAATAATTATGTATATATACACACACATATATGTGACTGTGTGTGTGAAAGTGTGTGTGTGTGCGTGCATGTATGTGTATGCTAAGTTGAGAGGAAATAAGCAAAATTGCCAGACATTAAAGAACCAGAGATAAATAGGAATCCAGAAAAGGAAGTGAGTTCTAATACCGCTAGTTACCCATATCTGGTGTTCTTGAGCTTTAATTCTGATAGAACTGATAGTTGTAGATGATCAGAGACAAAGAATGGACTCTGCTGAAGGTTAAATATTTAATAGGAAACCCCTCTGTAAGTTTGTGTATCCAAATGTTTACAGCCTCACCAAAAGGCGAATTTGAAAAAAAAGCAATACCCCACAAAAGAGTCAACAAGAAATCTTAGAAGAGCTATAACTAGAAACAAGTAAGTGTGTTTGCAGACTAAATTTAAACAATCAGTTTTCTTAAAAATCTCAAGAGGATAATTTATTTTGAGTTCCATACTGATCCCAGGCAACTGGTATAGGCAAACCCAAATTTTCTCTGGAGGAATGCAGCTTAAACCCAGGTCTCATGACACATTTCCCATAAATTAGTTCACAATCAAAAATCACCACCAACAAAAGAAAATCGGTCATCATATGCATAAGTCCACAGAAATAACAGAGAGCAAATTTGGCACCTAAAAGAATTGCAAAATGATACACTGAATATGTTCAAACAAATAAAGGTGTTTTAAAAGTGTTATCAAAACAGAGTGTATAAAACATGACAAAAGGGATTTGAAACATAACCAGATAGGATTTCAAGAAATAAAAATATAAGTATCGAAATTTTAAAATGAATGGATGAAATAAACACAAAATAGACATAGATGAAGGGAGTTACCAGTGCATTAAGATGGAGATCTGAAAGAATGCATAGAATGCATCACAGAGAGAAAAAGAAATGGAAATTTGGAAGATAAAGACAACTTTTAAGTGAGACTGTTTAAAATGTTTAGGAAATAATAGAGAAAATGAAGGAAAAGTGATATTCAAACAGATCTATTTAACAACTTTCTGGAATATGTAAAATATGTAAATCATCAGTTTCAGAATTATGATAAATTCCAAGTATAATAACTAAAAAGAAATCCCCTCTAAAATAGATCAAAGTAAAACTGTTGTACACCAAAGAAGAAGTGACTGCCCAGTTGTAATTATATAAATCAAACAAAAAAAGAATATATCTTCAAAGTACTGATTAAAGCAAACTTGTCATCCTAGAAATATATATCCAGTGAAAGTGCCTTTCATGGATTAGGTCAAAATTTGAATTTTGAGAGAAAGACATTTGTGAGAAACTAAACCCAAAAAAAGTTAAAGACCAACCAACCCTTTCTAAAAGAACATGTGAAAGATGTAGTTCAGAAGGAAAATTATACAAAAATGACTACAGAAGGAATTGATGAGATGAAATACAAAATGATAAACAAAAATGGTAAACATATGGATCAATCTAAGCAAGACATGTATAAAACAATATTATAAATGTCTATATTGTGGGATTAAAATGAAAATAAAGCTCTAAATATTAAAAAAATAAAAGTTGGAAGGTGAGTAATTGAACTCAAAACATTTTAAAGTTTTTGTTTTATTATGAAGAAAGCTTAAGATATGTATTAAATTTAGACAGTTAAATATGTACATTAAAATGTCTACAATAATCACTAAAAGAAATGGGCTACATTCAAACTTGTAATAAGGAGAGACAGTGGAATTAAAGAGGAAAACATCAATGAAATTCAATATAAAAATAAAATAAGCAAATCAAATAATGAATAAAATAGAATTTCATATGTAAATTTTAAAATAATAAATATAAAATTTAAATGGACATTCTTATGGGGCAAAACTATTTGTAAAGAAAGCAATGGAATTGACAAACCCTGAAATGAAGATAGTGTTTCCTACCAGGTGTTAGAGAGCGAGATAAATGCCATCAAGAAAAGACATGCAGAGGTCTTCAAAGGTGGTAGATGTGTTCTATTCCTTAGCCAAGGGGGTGGGTATTATGCATTGACTTTATTATTACTATTTAAAACTTATATATGTTACACATCTTTTGTATTATTTAATATTTAATTAAATTTTTAATTCAAGAAAGATATACACAGCATAAGTTTGGATATACAAAGAAAATTTCTGGACAGCTATACAAAAGATGCCAGTATAGTTATAGGTGGTTGAATTTGATGTAAGGACAGGAAAACAAAGCTTACAAGTAGTTTCCAACTTATACTCACAATGTAATTTTTTAAACCATTCACATGTATTTTTTTCTAATTAAAAAACTAGCTAAAAATAAAATCATATATCACATAAAATCATCTTAAAATCTTAGTCTACACATTTTGAGCATTTTGGGCTGACATGTTTGACGAAAAATTGCTCACATTTTTAATAGTCAATATTTTTCACTTAGTCTGACTTCTTGTTATCTTTGACATTTTTCCATGATGGAATCTAGTTTTTTTATTTTTATTTTTATTTTTTGAGACAGAGTCTCACTCTTTCACCCAGGCTGGAGTGCAGTGGCGCCATCTTGGCTCACTGCATCCTCCATCTCCCAGGTTGAAGCAATTCTCCTGCCTCCACCTCCTGAGTAGCTGGGGTTATAGGCACCTGCCACCATGCCCCGCTAATTTTTGTATTTTTAGTAGAGACAGGGTTTCAGTATGTTGGCCAGGCTGGTCTCGAACTCCTGACCTCAAGTGATCTGCCTGCCTTAGCCTCCCAAAGTGCTGAGATTACAAGTGTGAGCCACTGCACCTGGAAAACTTCTAGTTTTTTAAACTCATGGAATAGTAGAGTTGGAAAGAACTTCAGAGATCATATTGTATAGTAGTTTTCAAGACTTTTGAAGGCAAAGAACTCTTGTAATAAAATCATACTGTGCAACACATTAAACATAATTCAGTCCTATCTCTACCTCCCAACTTCCTCAGGACTGCCCACCTCGCCCTACGCATGGTTCTCCAATATAGCTCCACTAAATTATTAGGGTCACCATGGAGTTTAGGTTTACAAAACTCTTGTCTACTTCACATTTAACTAGTGCAGAAATCTCTTATATAACCCCATGGCAGATTGTTACCTGGTTTCTGTTCCAATTCTTCCTCACAATTTTAGGTATTCTTAGACATGGTTCATTCTGTTTCACTGCAGCTTGGTCTAAGGATAAAGAAGTTTTTCCTTGCTGCTAGCTAAAATCTTTTGTTACATAACCCCAAATTATTAGCCCAAACTGTGTCCTGGTTCTAATTTCCCATTCTTCTCCCTAGCCACACTAATCCCTTCCACGAAACTATGAGAGCCTCTCACATGTGAAGGCAGTTAGCTTATGGCCCCACACAACACAACCCTCTGACCCTAGCAACTGGGGTCTCTGTCCTGGCCTCCTCAGTTTGAAACTACCTTAGGACCTCTTCCATCTGTGCCCTTTCACAGAGGGGAGGAGCTCATGAAACCAAAAGTTTAGGCTATCTGTACTCCCTCTTTCCCATAGATGATCCTTCTGTTTTCTAGAACTCCTAAAGTTCTTGCCTAAATAGTCCTTCTAGGGCTTGCACTAACCTCATTCCAGGTCCATTCTCAAGGGCAGACCACATGGTCAACGTACACAAACCTAGACTAGAGAGGTGGACATGAGGTGAGTGGATGGAATTTGTGAATGGAGACTGGAGTGCAAAAGGCTACTTATGATGCTACATATAAAAGGGACAGGATGCAGATAATGAGGTTTTCCATTTGTACTTTTACCTCACCCCCCACAAATATTAAGAGCAAGCCTACTCTCAAAACTTTTAATTTTCCAATCTTTTCATTTCTACTGCCTTCAAGCTCATTTTTATGATAGCTAATCCAATTCCTGCTAATACTAGGTTGCCAGATTAAAAATAGCCTGTGTCTAGATCCCTCCAAGTTAAACAGTTTTAGTGAATTATTAACTTTTAAGCAAATATAGCCAAGCTGATTGCCTAACTTCCATCCCTTCCGTTGAGGTTTCAAGCCATCCTTTCCAGAGGTAATGCTTTCACCAAGTCTTCATTCACCTTGAAAGTAAAAATGACAGAAGTTACATTATTTAGCAAATTTACCTCATGGAGGATTTGGACATATCCACAGTGATCTGAGCCTTAGCTTGCTGGATTAATTTGGTTGTAGTGGATCACCTCTGTTTTGTTTGCCTTAGAGACAGAATTTAGAACACAGGGCAAGTTCTGCTATGGTCTAGGCAAAGACAGACCTCCAAGATTTCCATGAAGCTTGGCATATTTTGTTTCGCAGCACTGTCCCTAGTGCGTTTAAGACACAATCCTGAATAAAATGGGATTCAAATCCATGACTTAGAGGTTGCCAGAACTCTTTGTTTTAGTAGACCAATCAGAGCCAATGTTCTAACAAGTAGTCTGATTCAGAAGAGAGCAACAGTGCTTGGTGGAATACCACTTTTCTTGATGAATGAATTCTCCAAAGTAAAAGTTGCTGGTGTCCTATTAATATTTGGATTTAAATTATTTAATAAGAAAATTGTCACTTTCTATTTAAATGAAAGATATGAATAAACCTGTTAGCATGTATGCGAGGTGGATTAATCAACATCTTGGTTGTTTGTGTACCAAGATTTTGGACTCAAAATGATACAAATTTGTTGATTATTTTTTCAGGGCCTTTACTCATCCATGGCTAAATACCAGTTAATACAAAAAACACAATTGGAAGGTCACTCAAAATAGAACATTTTTCTTTCCTGTTGCTTTTATGACTGATAAGCTCCCTTGAAGTTTAGTCATGCTTACCCAGGTTATTCAACCTCTCTCAGATCCAGAACAAAACCAGTTTAGCTCACAGGATATTTGGAGGGATTATATGAGCTACTCTGTGTTAGTGCTTGGCATCTAACAACAGTTCAATAGAACAGACATTTTAATATTATTTCTAGTGTGCTTCATTGAGAATGCCCAAGACAGTACATCATCTTTTATAAAAATTGTGTTTTGTGTGATTTTTTTTAACCCAAAATTGATACCAATTCTGCTACCTCTGTACCTTTTAGGCAAAATAGAACCACATATCTTCATACCTATGTCAGCAGTATGCAGAGGAAAGAAGAGTACAGAAGTGAGTTTTTGTTCTAACAGTACCCCCAGCACATACACATATGCTCCCTGAACCTCAGCTTACTTATCTGTGAAATGAAGCTTGTAGAAAGGTTCAGGCCAGGCGCAGTGGCTCACGCCTGTAATCCCAGCACTTTGGGAGGCCGAGGCAGGTGGATCATGAGGTCAGGAGTTCGAGACCAGCCTGGCCAAGATAGTGAAACCCGTCTCTACTTAAAAAAAAAAAGACCGCGTGTTGGCGGGCACCTGTAGTTCTAGCTACTCAGGAGGCTGAGGCAGGGAATTGCTTGAACCCAGGAGGCAGAGGTTGCAGTGAACCAAGATCTCGCCACTGCACTCCAGCCTGGGCGACAGAGCGAGACCCGTCTCAAAAAAAAAAAAAAAAAAAGAAAGGTTCAAACAAGATAATAGGTGGTAAAAATACTCTGTAAAATACAATACTCGTTAGTAATAAAGTGCACTCAGGAGATAATCCCCTGTAGACAGTGCGTAGCACAGTAAAAAATACTCAGTAAATATCTGTTGAAGAAAGAAGGAGTGGGTAGAGCTGTAAGGAGAATGAGAGGGAAAAACAAAAGGAAAATCATAAGGGAGGGACATTAAAGTTTCTCTTTTTTATTCATACATAGTAATTAATACTTATGGGGTACCTGTCATATTTTAATACATGCCTACTATCTGTAATGACCAAATCAGAGTATTTGGGATATTCATCACCTCAAATATTATTTCTTTGTGTTGGGAACATTTCGAATCTACTTATTTTGAAATATACAATATATTGTTGTAACTATAGTTATCCTACTCTGCTATTCAAATCCTAGAGTTTATTCCTTCTAATTGCATGTTTGTAACTATTAACCAACCTCTCTTCACCAACCCCCCACCCACATTCTTCCAAGCCTCTAGTAATTATTATTCTACTCTCTGTCTTCATGAAACCAATTCTTTTAGCTTCCACATATGACTGAGGACATGTGATATTTTCTTTCTGTGCATGGATTATTTCACTTAACATAATGATCTCTAGTTTCATCCATGTTGCTGTAAATGACAGGATTTTATTCCTTTTTATGTCTGGGTAATATTCCATTTTGTGTACATATACCACATTTTCTCTATCCATTCGTCTGTTGATTCCTTATCTTGTCTATTGTGAGTAATGCCACAGTAAATTTGGGAGTGCAAACCTCTTTTTTTGTATACTGATTTCCTTTTCTTTGGATGGATACCCAGCAGTGGGATTGCTGGAGCACATGGTAGTTCCATTTTTAGATTTTTGTAAAACCCCCATAGTGATTTCCATAATGGCTGTACTAATTTACATTCCTACCAATAATATATGAAAGTTCCCTTTTCTCTGTTAGCCACTCTAACTAGCGTAAGATGATATCTCACTGTGGTTTTGATTTGCATTTCCTTGAGGATTAGTGATGTTGAGAATTTTTTCATATACCTGTTGGCCAAGTTTCTCTTTGAGATGCTTATATTTCAGTCTGTCTCTTCATTTTTTTCCCCTTCAACACATTCTTCCTTTCCTTTTCTTATTTTTACTTCCTCAGTTCCTAAGTTCCCCAAACTATGAACCAGCTTAGAAGGGAATGGGCTGTTGGGAGAGGGATACACTGGCATCCAAAGTGAGATATTTCCAGTGGCTTAGGAAGATCTTAAGATAACAATGACAAGATGATGCTTAACAAGCAATCTAATCAGTGATAGCCAGAGATCAGATTCTTCATTATTCCACTTGAGTCCTTAGCTAGATACTTGGAAGTCTGGCTCTTCTGGCTTTTTTAAAGTCATGTGGCTTTAGAGCAGAGTTTCCCCACCTGAGCACTATTAAGGCCAGATTATTATTTTCTATGTACAATAGATTGTTAAGTACCATCCCTATTATCTACCCACTAGATGTCATTAGTACTTCCTCTACCCCAGTATGACAACAAAAAATATCTTCAGAGATTGTCAAATGTCCTGGCAGGAAAGAATTGCCCCCCAGTTGAAAACTACTATTCTAAAGCATAAAATTACTGTGTTTTGAGATCGTTTTCCCTACTGGAGCTTGAGCAGTTCTCCTACCACAAAGCTCTGGTACGTGAATTCATGGGAATGATCAAGTGCAAAATAGTTGAAAGAGCATGAGCTTTGAAGCCAGAAAATCTAAGCTTGAATTTTGACATCTTTCATTTGTATTTGTTTTTCGTAGGCAACTTAGTTAACTTCTCCATATTTTATTTACTTCATACGTACTAGAATATGGAAGGTCCTTCCTAGCACTTACCACCAACTATGTGTCTGTTTTTTTCTCTGCCTTTATTAGAATATAAGCTTCGTGAGAAAGAAGGGTAGAGTCTGGTTTATATACCACTGTGTCCCCATTGCTTAGAGTAAGTCAGGCATGTAGGAAGGCCTCATATGTACTTGTTTAATAATTTTTCTATAAGTAGCACAAAGTCCATGTCTGCTACGTAGTAGGCATCAACAACTATTCTTTCAGTCGGTTCTTATTATTCATGGTAATTGTGTTCTATAATGTCATCACAAACACCGAATTAAGTAACTACTGAACCACTGCTCCTAGGGGAAATATGGGGTTGGGTTCCCTTGGGTCTCTGGTAACATTTTCTTCAATAGAACAATATATACCTTGTTTTATCTGTGTCTGTTTGAAGAAATTATGTCTTATATATGTTGTTGATTCATTAATATTGAACTAACAGCCAGCAGCACTATAACCTATGCCTGAAGTAACTTCATCAAACACATGTGTTTTCTCTGAAGGCACATTATGTATGATTTCTCTTGCATTTAGGAAAAACAGACAACATTTCAGAACTATATTTGGAGGCCATTTGAAACAGCAAAATCTTTAACAAAAAATCATAAAAATGCAAAAAACGTGGCACTAACTTGTTATGAGAAAAACATGGGACTCAACTTCCTCTCCTCCCTCCAAACTTGAAAGTTGCTGAGAGACCACAGAGTGAGTTGGATAAGTCCAGCTTGATGAGTAGATGAGTTTAACAGGACTTACATACAGGGCACTCCTGGATGGTGGCAGGACAGCTCTAGAGATCTGTAGCACCACCCATCTCTAAACTGCTTTCAAGCTCATTTTCTGGCTCTTTGCCTGCTGTGTTTGAGTGAGGAGATTGATATATTCTCAGATATTCTCTGGGATGCTGGGTTCTCAGAAACACCTGCTTCTTGGCTGGGCACCACGGTCGTGGCTCACTGTTCAGCCTTCAGGGATAAGACAGCAGACATATGCCTTTAAATGGCCTGGTGGGGGACCTGTCACACTACATGAATAGACCATGGACAGGACACTTATTTACAGTATGAGAGCTGAAACAAGAAGGCAGAATGTCACCTTGTTCTATTTCAGCTGCGAATATGTACCCTGGTGAGTCAAATTTTTTGCCACTCTGCACATGTCCATAGATGACCATGAAAATGTCACAATCATTGATTTGGAGGCTACAAATAAATTCTGGGATGTGGACAAATTTGTAAATACAGAATCTACAAATAATAAGGATTAACTATATTCGTGGACAAAGTCAGTTTCTGCAAAAGAATACAAGAAAATTCTTACTAACTTAATTCTCAGGGAGAGTAATGAAACTTCAACCCAAACATGGTATTTTCCTCTTTTTGTCTAACAACAGACTATGGCTTCTCTCACCAAGGTACCCCCTTTACCAACACACAAAAGAAAACAGGGACTGCAACTTCCTGGGTGAATGCTTTGTTCCTGTTCTATGTTCCTTGTGATTTCTCATTTTCCACATATTTAGGGATTTTCCAGTTATCTTATTGTTATTGATTTCTAGTTCAATTGCATACATTCTTTGATCTCTATACTTTTAAATTTGTTAAGGTGTGTTTTATGGGTCAGAGTATGGTTTATCTTGTTGAATGTTCCATGTGAGCTTGAGAAGCATGTACAATCTGCTGTTGTTGGATGAAGCATCTATAAATATCAATTAGATCAAGTTGATTGATAGTGTGGCTTAGGTCAGCCATAACCTTACTGATTTTCTGCCTGCCTGATCTATCAATTACTGAAAGAAGAGTGGTATTGAAGTTTCCAACTATAATAGTGCATTTTTCTTTTTCTCCTTGCAGTTCTATGTGTTTTTACTTTACGTAGTTTGATGCTCTGTTGTTAAATGCATGTCTTATTGAAGAATTTACCCCTTTATCATTATATAATATCCCTGTTTATCTCTGATAATTTTTCTTGTTCTGTAATCTGCATTGTTTAAATTTAATATAGCTACTTCAGCTATCTTTTTATTAGTGTTAGCATGGTATATCATTCTCCATCCTTTTACTTTTAATCTAAATCTTTATACTTAAAATGGGTTTCTTGTGGAATGTAGACTACTCTGATAGTCTCTGTCTTTTATTGGTGTTTTTAGACCCTTCACATTTAAAGCAATTATTGATATAGTTGGATTAATAGTTATATTTTTAACTGTTTTCTATTTATTGCATTTGTTTTTTGCTTATTTCATTTAATTAATTAACTTTTTTGGTACTTCATCAGAGTCTTGCAAACACTCCATGAGGGAAATATCTTGGATCAGTTCCCATTTAGAGATAAAGAAACCAATGTTATTAAAATACAGTGATGTAACCAAGGTTGCATACAATAAAAATGACAGCAAGAATTTGAAACTTGTGAGTGTTCTTTACATGACAAAACATTATCTATCATATACTCAGCAAACTCGTCAATAAAACTCTGATAAAGCTTCCAAACCACATAAAACTATGCCCTCAAAATTTCTAAAATCTGCATGCCTCCCAAGGTTTGTTCTCTCCAAAACCAACCTAGGAGCCTGTTAAGAACCCAGAATGTTTGCTTTAGTTAAACCAAAACACCATAGATTAAATAACAGCCAGTGAATAACAAATTCTAACATGGTTAGCATAAGAGCAAGAGCAAAATGGAAAAATAGAATTTTTGCTTCTTCACAGAGACTGGTATTATCCATGAAAATCAAGCATACAGTTTCAGGGTGCCAGGTTTCTTAAAGAGCAAGAAAAAAATGTAACCCTATTCTCAGCCAGGCTGTTCAGTTTTATCTTCCCATAGACTGAGGTCATTTAAAATGAATTGTTACAACCTGGCTTCTGAATGACGATCTATTTCCCTATAAAAGTGCCTCTCCCTGCTTCCATGGGGAAGAGAGAAAAGACAAAACCGGCTTTAAGCCCAAACCATAATTTTAGTAATTACTAAACCAAGTGACTGCAGCCATAATTGAGTCATTCAAAGCCAAATGGTAACAGTAATTATTTTGTCAAATTTGAATAAAAAAGAGTTTTTTGGAGGGAACAAGTGGAGTTGAGCTAAGGAGACCTGAGCTGTCAGCCACAGAGCAGGAGACCTTTTCCAAGCAGAGAGGGTCTTCCTGGCACTGTGGTTCTCTTTTGTGACTATGATAGACATTCCTTGTTACAGATTATGGCCTTGTCACACTTAAACTAATCTCTCTTCGTGTTTTCAGGCCCAGATCATTCCCCTGGGCAGCAGTCATCAATTTACATGGAGAGGCACCTAAGGAAAGACAAAACCTATTTATCACACTTGCTCAGAGTGTACTAACAGCGACTTCAAACCAAGCATGGATCCACATTTCAATCAGGCTACACCTCTGCATCATCATAAATGGTGTCAAGATATATTGTTAAGAAAATAGATGGAAGATGTGAAATATGGGGGTCAGTGAACTCTACCCTCATATGACCACCTTGGTGTCCATATGAATTCAGTATAGCTTAGATAATATCCAAACATTTTAAAGTCACCTGCTTACTTGGGAATGGACACTTCGCCATGACAGTTGGTGAAACAGAAGCCACATTTGGTTAGAAATACAGAAACAAGAGAGGCAGGGGTTCATATCCTTGAATCTTCTTCCCTTTAACTAACCAACTATTGTCTGTGAATCCAGTTATTAGTTTCAATACAGACAATATTTCCTACTTGCCCTTCTTAGGTTCTATCTTCCATTCAGAATGGTCAGTACTATTTCTGCTCAAAGCTGAGTTTGCCCCACTTTTTTCTAAGGAATGCACTTTTTTCGCAATGTCATAAATTTTTCAGGCTTCACTAAAGATGCAAATGACATTGCTGGTATTCTTTCATGGTCAGGGAGTTAAGTGGGAAGCAAATCTTTCAATATCAGTGGATTCAAGGTCCTAGAGTCCCATCAATTCAAAGGGAAATGAATTGAACAGAATCAGCACTCACTTATTTGGAATAATTTTGTGCCTTTCCCCTCCCTCAAATATTCTTTCCTTTGTTAATATTCATGTCACTTGCATATATAATAATCTAGAACAAGGCTATTAAACTATGCCTTCGGGTCAAATCTTATTTCTGTATTATGGTAAATAATGTTATATTGGAACATAGCCACATCTGTTTGTTTGCTTATTTTCTATAGCTGCTTTCCTGCTACAAGGGCAGAGTTGAGTAGCTGCTACAGAGACCATATGGCTCACAAAGTTGAAAATATTCACAATTTGTCTCTTTGCAGAAAACACCTGCAGAACACTGATCTAGAATGTGATCAGAATTTATTTTGAATAACTTGCATGTTTTCCCTCAAAAAAATCTTATTTCATGGATACTCCTATCAATTTCATACAGCAAGCTAGAACATACTAAACACAATTTATTTTGAATAGTTTTGCATGCCCTTTTCCCATGAAAGTTTCTTCTCCTTATGTTGATATGTCCTGTCGCTTTCAAAAAATCAGTATTTGAGTTGAGGTATTTTACTCTTCTTCCTACCAAGTTTCCATTAGAATGACATAATATATATAAAACTGAACTGAATTTTAATAATACAAAATAATATAAAATCTGCTCATGATGC
Source organism: Homo sapiens (assembly GCF_000001405.40). Lineage (NCBI taxonomy): Eukaryota > Metazoa > Chordata > Mammalia > Primates > Hominidae > Homo > Homo sapiens. Next base: position 104,262,373 of record NC_000009.12, on the reverse strand, counting down.
CAATAAAAGATAGAAAACAGAGAGTTGTGACTATAATCAAGAATTAAATTAAAATATGTATATATCTCACTGTGGATACTACTCATCAAATTAATCACAATTAACTCTATATTAAAACTTAAAATTGTTGCCAAGCTACACTGAAAGATAAGTGAATTGCCTTACAAGCTTTAATTGCCAAATCAGAAAAAAAAGTGAATTAAGGAATTAATATTTTTTAAATATAAGAATTTAAAAAAGTGCACAACAAAAATACAGAAACAAAGGTGAAATAAAAATAAAAGCAAATGATCCTGAAATAGGAACCAGAAAGATAGGTGAATTGATAAAGCAGAGATGATATAAAACATAATTAATAAATGAGAAGACTGGGGTACTGGCTATGAAGACACATACTCTGGAGCCAAAAAGGCTTGGGTCTGAACCTCAGCTCCACCACTTAATGGATATGTGACCTCTGATGATCTATTTCCCTTCTCATAGAAGAGGACCCGGATGTGCAGATAATCAGAGGCTTCTCAATGGTAATGAGCATAAAAACACAAGGTGTTAATGATAGTTACAGAGGAAAGGCAGGCAACAACCTCAAACGTTCAGGAAAGGACTTTCAAAGGAGCTAGAAATGTATGTTTAAGAATGAAGAGTTGGCCAAACAAAGAAATGTGCCTGGCACCAAATAAATGTTATATTATGGGGAAAGAAATAATAATTGCAAATGAATTTGTTTAAGAATAACTGCAAATTGATTTATCTCCTACTTCAGATTGTGAGCTTTTTGATAATAGAATATGTTGTTCCTTTGGTGAAAGAATGAACAAACACCTTCATCTTTTTAACAAATTCACTGAGATAATTTACATGCCATAAAATTTACCCATTTGAAGTGTATAATTCGATACATTTTAGTAAATGGACCAAGTTGCACAATGATGACCACAATTCACTTTTAGAGCATTTCTATCACCTCCGTAAGCTTCCTTGTGTCCAGTTACAGTTAATCCTCATTCCTATCCCTGTTTTGTGACTGACAAAACTGACACCCAGAGAAATTATTTGACTTTCTTATGGCCATAGAAATGAGTGTGATAAACAGGTCTAGAACTCAAGACTACTGACATCCTTTATGTCCAAACCCACTTGACTATACTGTACAATGCTCTCTGCTGTGAAATCTAACAATAATTAAATCTGAGAATCAGGCATTACACTCTCTTTTTTTATCAACGACAACCATATTATCATTGTTATTTCTATTTTCATAATCATTGATGAGGATTATATTATAAAATATAATATATAGCATTCATTGTTACCTATTTGAGGTATTATGCCGTATAGATTGTCTCCTTCAGAATAGAGGCTATCACACCATGTGGCAGCTCCAGCCATCCCTGAGTTTCAAATGTGCTCAAAGACTCTTCTGTCAGAGCCATTTTCAATTTTAATGATTATTTGCCTAGCAGCCAACTTGGCAAACTCAGTCCAGAATCTTACAATCTACCAGTAAAATGGGTGATAAAAGAAGGGACATGCATTAGAAATCCTAATCCCACGTGAGGCAGGGTTGTATGGTCAAACTTTTACCTAACACTATCAACATCTTAAAATAGACAAATGGAAACAAAAGAAAGATCAGTAAGTCTGCAGTGTGGTTGTAAGCAGCTTAGCTTCCTTTTCTCTATTAGACTTGATTTTTGATATGTGTAGCTTTTCTCTGCTAATCAAGGAACCATTGGATATCAAAGTTCTATGAATAGTGAAATTGTTTTAGTCCCAGAGTACTACCTTGATTTGCTGTGCTGTTGTCAGAGCGTGGCAAAAGTGGATTTCCCATAAATTCTCTGTGCACCAATGATGTTTTGGTTCATGCTTTGAGTAATGGACTAAATTAGCTCTCTTAACAGGCATCTGTTCATAACTCACTAATATAGCATGATTATTTTGTGAAAACAAGCACTTTTCAAACACTTTTGCAGAGATCTACTTACGAAGAAGATAATGCTGGGAGATCAAAATGAGAATAAAAAGTGGATATGTAGTCCTTACATTAAGCTAATTAACAGCTTGGCAGTTCTAACATTGAAAGCATGCAATTATCACGGGCCAAAATACTGGCCATCAACCTTTTTGTAATGCAGTTGGCACCAAAATTATCATAAAAATAACTTCCAGCAAAGGCTAATGGAGGCAGACACTAATGCCCCAGACCAGCTTGAAAATGGAGACTGGAACCCAAAGCAATTAGACATTTTATTATGGAAAAAGTAACTGTGGCCATTCAAGAGTGACATGATTAAGATATCCAATTGCTTCTCAGAAATAAACTGCTACCATCTTTTATTCTGTTCCGTGTGAGTTTGAACCTTCATCTTGTCAACAATGTCTAAGTATATGTGTAACATTCCCACCAGCAGTTGAGTAAGAGATACTCAGAATGTTCTATTCATGAGGGGGCATTGCTGAAAAAGATATTTTTCCTTTTTATATACACCTAACATTTTGTGCATGTACCCAGGGATCTTGTAGACTCTCTGAACTCCATCCATGAGGGTTCCTAATGTAATGCCTTTAGTGGGTATAAAATATATAACAGGCAATATTAAAGGATTATTGTTCAGGGAGTTTGTTTTGATGGAAAAATAAACTGAACAAATACAGACAAATTAAAAATATATGTACTGTGTGTCTGATATGGGTTAAGTACTGTGGTAGGCACCCAGATACACAGGCAAATAAATAATCATCTTTGCCCTTGAGAGTTTCCCATTTTAGTGGGAAAGGCACATTTTTAAAGAAATAGATTCCCTATAAAGTGTTAACTGTTCTGATGGCAAAATGTCCAAGATACAAAAAAGGACCAAAGTAGAACATTGGGATGAAAGCTGGAGGAGCGAGTTGGTGGGGAGTTGAGTGAAGGTCTCATGGGGATTACTCTAGATTTAATTTACTACAGCACATATGCATAAATTTCTGGGGCTTATGATATTTCAGTTTCCCCATCAGATCCTGTCACTGAGAAAGATGAACCTGAATATCTGAGACAGGTCTCAGTTAATTTACAAAGTTTATTTTGCCAAGATCGAGATGTTGTAACCAAGTGAGTTATAGAGAAACGTCACACTTTGAGACTAACTCAGGAGTCCTTTATTAGCCGGCGACTGAGAGATGGCTAGCGCTCAAAATTCTCTCGGCCCCAAAGAAGGGGCTAGGTTTTCTTTTAAACTTTGGTTTGGAAAGGGGAGGGGGAATCGAGCTGAAGCAATCTCACAGAAGTAAAAACAGGCAAAAAAGTTAAAAAGACAAATGGTTACAGGAAAACAAACAGTTCCAGGTGCAGGGGCTTTAAATTCATCACAAGGTGATAGGTGTGGGGGCTCTGGGTGCTATCTACCCGACACAAACGCGGAGGCTTAGGGTATTGTCACCCGTGTGAATTCCTGGGAACTGTGGACATAGCTTGCCACAGTACCTTATCAGTTCATTGCACTCTTCGATGTGCTGGGAGTCAGCTTGCACAAGTTAAGTCCTTGAGGAATGGGGTGGGTAAGGAGCCCTTGATGTCTTGCAAATGAAGGAGCCAAATGGAGTCCGTCCAGCTTTCTCAGTAAAGGGAGAGTCTATTCATATTAAAACAAAGTGAGGTATCACAGAGAACATGGACCCATGACACAGCCTCAGAAAGTCCTGGCAAAATGTGCCCCAAGGTGGCCGGGGCATAGCTTGGTTTTATATATTTTAGGGAGATATGAGACATCAATCAATATGTGTAAGATGTACGTTGGTTCCGCTTGGAAAAGCAGGACAACTTAAGCAGGGAGGGGGGCTTCCAGGTCACAGGTAGGTGAGAGACAAATGGTTGCATTCTTTTGAGATTTTGATTAACATTTCCAAAGGAGCCAGTTGGATGTGCATTCATTTTAGTGAGCAGAGGCATGACTTTGAATAGAACGGGAGGCAGGTTTGTCCTAAGCAGTTCCCAGCTTGACTTTTTCCTTTACCTTAGTGATTTTTGGGGCCCCAAGATTTATTTTCCTTTCACATTTCTTCACTTTTATTTTTAAAATCTTTTAGAGAAATTCTGATTCTTACCTTCTCATAGAGACCACCATTCCTTTCATTTCTTTCCTCTAGGGACTCCTTCCTTTGTAGGAATTGTGTATGCATAAAATGATGTATTAAGTAATATAAACATAATCTTATTGTATGCACATAAATGCATGATTCTGAAAGTGATTCCATAATCTTCACCAGACTGCTCAAAAAGGGTCCACGGAATAAATTAGCTAAAAAAAAAAAAAAAAATGATTGAGGCTGTGTTATCTTAACAACCTTGGCTCATTCACCATCCATGAAGGTGTAGAAAGAGACCTGACTTCAAATGCTGGCCTAGAACTTCCCACATGATAACAAGCAAACTACTTAATCCTGGTGAACTTTATATTTCTCATTTGTGAAATGAGAATAATAATAATAATAAATTGAGAGAGTTAAGGTAAATGAAGTATTAGAAGAATCCTCATGTATACAAAGTAAGTACTCAATAAATGTTACTTTCCTTTCAATTTTGCTTTCTCTGTAATTATCTTACTTAATAGCCTTTCCCAGTTGATAGAGTACCCACATCTCTACCAATTTGTTTCTTTTTGGAAATACTGCATTTTCAGTTATTTATTACTTGAAATTCATGTCAGTCTAGGAAGTTTCTGTCTCATTTTCTCTTTTAACAACAAAGACAATAATATATTAGCATGCAAAGTGTCCTGGACTAGAAAACCAGTGACTCTCTCCTCTTCCCCAGCTATGAGACCTGACCATTCCAACTTCTAGATTTCCAGCTTCTGAAAAACTACTACGCTATGTACATTTTCTCATCCTTTTTATTACCAAGAGCCCTTTCTCTTACTTTTTATATAAATCAATGTTTTGAAAATTTTTATTGCCATAGACAGTGTTATAGAATAATCATTTCCTTAAAGTTTATTGATCAAACATAAATAAATTGATCTTTTAATTAGCATGAGCTAATCAGTAATACCACATAGAATTACTATAATTTCAGGCAAAATCAAAGGAAAGTGGAAATTTATTTTCATAGGTGAATGTGTTACAACCTAGTTGGCGTTTTCTTGCTGGCTGCTCAGAAAAAAACAATACCTGGAGACAGCAGGTGTTGCAGCAAAGAAAGAATTTAATAATTGCAAGGCAGGCGAGTGAGGATTGTAGGAGATATTTCTCAAATCCACCTCCCCTAGAATTTGGAGACTTGGGTTTTTAAGAATTGTTTGGTGGGCAGAGGGTTAGGAAAGGGGTTCTACTGATTGGCAGGGCTGGGGATGAAATCACAGGGATGCCAAAACTGTCTTCATGCACTAAGTCAGTTCCTGGGTAGAAGTCACCAGTCCCAGTGGAATCAGTTGGTTCATCACAATGCAAAGTCTGAAAAATATTGTAATGACCAGTCTTAGGTTTCACAATTGGGGAAGTTAAAGCAAGCTATGAAACAATGACTGGTTACTATTTAACTATTCTTGTATATTAACAGTATCCAGGCCACTACTATAATTTTAACCTTGTGGGTTTTTATTTGTTTTACAGAGGGAGTTTCAGTCCCTAAATAAGGAGGGCATTACCTTTGGAAAATGACTATTATCCACCTTGGCTTACAGTTAAACTATAAACTAAATTCCTCAGATAAACTGTCAGTTAAATTCCTCCCATAGTTAACATGGCCTATCACAGAAATGAGCAAAAATCATTAGCTTGTTGTTAGAAATGCAAAATGCTTGTTCCCCAGTGCCACAAAGAAATAGCACTTGAACATAAATTTAATTTTCTCAGCGAGGCCATTTTTACTTTCTGCAGAAAGGGTACACTCAGAGCAGTCTTGCCACAAGAGTATACTGAACAAAGGAAAAACAAACATATTTATCCCTTATGCATTTGGGTCGTCCTTACTGCTGTGTGCTGTATCTATTGGCTGGAGCTGGACCTCACAGTCTAAACTGATACCCAATTTGCTAACAACCTAAAACTTTCCTAAACAGGTAAGTGGAAGGGAGAACAAAGAAGAAGGGGGAGTTGCTTATGAAAAGTTTAAGGAAGCAATAACATTTCCAAATAAGGAAGGGGCATAAGCTATGAGCTAAGACTTGCCTGGGCCTGTCCAGATATGCCTGAGTAAGCCAAAGCAATTAACTGGGCTAAAGTGTAAGAACTAATAGTTGATAGGAGGCTTTAGAGTAAGAAGCTATTATTCCTCGTGTCTGATATTTTATTGTTAAACCAAGATGAGCTTTGAAGAGGAACTTTTCTACTTTCTACACTTGTGAAGTTAGAAGCAACATGAAGTAAGTTATGTTAGATTTATCTCACTGGTATAATTTTGCAGACAGTTTCAAGTGAAAAATTTCGTTCAGCTTTTTGGTTTGTTGCAAACAATTAATAAACTGCTTCATTCCTCTCCCACCCTCATCTCCATTACTTACTTTTTAAATTCCTAAGTGTCAGGGCACACCATAGGACTAGATCATTTCTACATTTATTTCATCTCTAAATTCTATTAAAATTCACAAACAACCCCAGGGGCATTTTATCTAATCTACCTCTGCAATAATTTTAAATTACCCCTCAGTATTCAATCATATTAGCAATGAGTGTTTTGTATTTTTCAAAGTCGTTCAGAAAAGTTAAAAACATTTTGGTTCCCATGTGTGAACCCAGAAAATCTGAGAAAGGTCTCAGTTAATTTAGAAAGTTTATTTTGCCAAGGTTGAGGACATGCCCGTGACACAGCCTCAGGAAGTCCTGATAACATGTGCCCAAGGTGGTTGGGGCACAGCTTGGTTTTATACGTTTTAGGGAAACATGAGACATCGATCAATATATGTAAGAAGTACATTGGTTTGGTCTGAAAAGGCGGGACAACCTGAAGCAAAGGCAGGAAGACTGGAAGTAGGGAGGGAGCTTCCAGGTCACAAATGGGTGAGACAAAAAGGGTTGTATTCTTCTGAGTTTCTGATTAGCCTTTCCAAAGGAGGCAATCAGATATGCATGTATCTCAGTGAGCAGAGGGACAGCTTTGAATAGAATGGGGGGCAGGTTTGCCCTAAGCAGTTTCCAGATTGAATTTTCCTTAGTGATTTTGAGGGCCCAAGGTATTTTCCTTTCAAACATGTATTTTGCTTTCATTGCATTTGCTTTGCCTTCAGACCTTTAAGCTGTTGTGCCAAACAGCCAATGACCCTAATTATTGTACTTTGCCTGACTGTTTAGAGACCTACATTATTAAGGTTGTTAGTACTCACTGAGGAAATGATATGCTTTAAATCTGTGATTTTAAAAAAACTATTATTTTTTCCAGGTTTTTTTTCCTAATGGCTGGGATAACTATAGATACATTTGATATCTCATTCCTCCCATCCAGTTTGCACTTGTGCTTAGAGAAAATCACTCTCTTAAAATGGATATTTACTTTACTAGGCCATAATTTTAAAAAACATAAACAACACATATTATTGTTTAGAAAAGTCCATAAGCAATATGTAGTACTTTGTTTTTAAATTTTAAACAACTAGCGTCATACTTGTGCTCTGTCCTTTTTCAACGTGCTTTTTTATGCTCAGTGTTGAATTTTTGAGATGCATCCACGTTGATATATATTGTTCATTTTAACTGGAATTATAATCCATTGCTTGAATGTATTCCATTTTATTCATTCTCCTGACTGATTCCTGCACCCTAGCACCTTCTGGTCCCTATGCAAATAGACTCCTGGTGGGCTGCCCTATTAGTCTACTAAACAAAGCCAGACAGGCCTGGATTCTGATATGGACTGATATAAAGCTCAAACCAAGAACTTCACTGTTTCAAATATAAATTGTCTTATTAGTTTTAGTCCTGTCTCAGCTCATAGAGGCAAGAAAGTAAAATGTTTCATATGCATATAACACCTAGAATGCTGCTAATATATTGAGTTTACTATATTCTGTTCTTTGTAAAAGACGGGTCTGGGCAAGCTTCATTAGCTGTCTATCAAAGCAATGGGAATGCAAGGGAATGAGAAGGAAGAGTGGCCAGATGCTTTTTGAAGTATAGGAATTTCTCCTGAGAGTTTTCATAGCTTGAATAAGCTATGATATTGATTATGTAATTAAGGAATCAAATTTGTTTTACTTGCATTATTCTGGAGCTACTGGCAATTATAATCCTGAAAACTTCTAGTTCTAAACTTTTCTTTTACTGAATCATTTTTTTTATGTGATTTTTAATAATGGAAGGTTTCTTAAAAATGCCATTATTGGGCTGGGTGTGATGGCTCATGCTTGCAATCCTAGCACTTTGGAGGTCGAGGCAGGTGGATCACCTAAGGTCAGAAGTTTGAGATCAGCCTGGCCAACATGGTGAAACCCTGTCTCTACAAAAAATACAAAATTAGCTGGATGTGGTGGCATGGGCCTGTAATCCCAGCTACTCTGGAGGCTGAGGCAGGAGAATCACTTGAACCCAGGAGACGGAGGTTGTAGTGAGCTGAGATTGCACCACTGCACTCCAGCCTGGGTAACAGAGCAAGACTCCATCTCCAGAAGAAAAAAAAACAGACATTATTGAATTATGGCATAGAGAAAGTATTCTGACTGTTTTTGAAATAAATACCATGAATCTTCTTTGAAAATACTTAATGATTTTGCCATTAAGAAAATGACTTTCTTCAAGTTGACAGCCAAATCCAGAACTCAATTCCATTTACAATAACCACAAAGAATAAAATATCTAGGAATACAGTTAACCAAGGAGTCAAGATCTCTGCAAGGACAACCTACAAAACACTAAAAAAAAAAAAAAATCACTGATAGCACAAAGAAATTGAAAAAATCCCATGCTCATGGATTTGAAAACTCATTATTGTGAAAATGACCATACTGCTCAAAGCAATATACAATTCAATGAAATTCCTATTAAATTACCAATGTCAGTTTTCACAGAATTAGAAAAAACTTCCTAAAACTTTTATAGAACCAAAAAAAAAAAGGGCCTGAATAGCCAAAGTAATCCTGAAGTAAAAAGAACAAAGCTGGAGGTATCACATTATTTGACTTCAAACTATACTACAAGGCTATAGTAACTGAAACAGTATGGTACTGGTAAAGAAATAGACACACAGATTAATGGAACAGAATAGAGACCAGAAATAAAGCCACATGCCTACAACCAACTGATCTTCAACAAGCTGACAAAAATATACCACGGAGGAAGGACACCCGTATTTAATAAAGGATGCTGGGAAAATTGGATAGCCATATGCAGAAGAATGAAGCTAGACCTCTATCTCCACCATATACAAAAATTGACTCAAGATTGAATAAAGGATTAAATGCAAGACCTGAAACTATAAAAGTCCCAAAAAGAAACCTAAGGAAAACTCTTCTGGACATTGGTCTAGGCAAAGAATTTATGACCAAGTCCTCAAAATCAAATGCAATAAAAACAAAAATAGACAAATGGGACTTAATTAAACTAAAGAACTTCAGTACAGCACAAGAAATAATCAAGAGTAAACACACAACCTACAAAATGAGAGAAAATATTTGTAAACTATGCAGGCAGCAAAGAAATAATATCCAGAATCTACAAGGAACTAAAACAACTCAATAAGAACAAAACAAATAATCCCATTAAAAAGTGGGCAAAAGACATGAACAGACACTTCTCAAAAGAAGATATACAAGCAGCCAACAAACATATAAAAAATATTCAACATCACTAATCATCAGAGATGCAAATTAAAACCACAATGAGATACCATCTCACACCAGTCAGAATGGCAATTATTAAAAAGTCAAGAAGTAACAGATGTTGGTGAGAATGAGGAGAAAAGGGAATGCTTATACATTGTTGGTGGGAATGTAAATTAGTACAACCTAGACGGAAAACATTATGGAGATTTTTCAAATAACTAAAAGTAGATCTACCATTTAATCTAGCAATTCTACTATGCTACTGGGATCTACTCAAAGAAGTCATTATATCAAAAATGCACTGCACTTATATGTCTATCACTACACTATTCACAATTGCAAAGCCACGGAATCAACCTACGTGTCCATCAATATATGATCAGATAAAGAAAATGTGATATAGATAAACCATGGAATACTACACAGCCATGGAAACAATGAAATCATGTCTTTTGCAGCAACATGGATGGAACTAGAGGCCACTATCCAAAGTGAAATAACTCAGAACCAAAAAATCAAATACCACATGTTCTCATCTATAAGTGGCAGCTAAACAACGAGTACACATGGAAATACAGAAGGAAATAATAGACACTGGGGATTCCAAAAGTGAGGCGGGTACGAGGGGTTGCTAAGGGTTGAAAAATTACCTTTTTGGTAGAATAAAGCCCAAACCTCACCATTACGCAATAAATCCATGTAACAAACCTGGGCAAACAAATCCTTGAATCTATAAAAATAAAATAAATTATTTAAAAATGAAAATTTTCATATTTATTATCTCCATTTTTATTTTTCAAAATGATATCTAGTAATAGACTCTGACTATAGGAAAGTTTAAATTCAGTATTAACTCTAAAATGTTGATAGCAATTAGCCAAGCAGAGGGAACTTCTGAACTAGTGGTACAGTTACTGGGGTTTGTGAACACTGTTTATTCTCTACTGCAAATTACCAAAACAAGAAAGCCAAACAAAACAATATCTTAAAAGTTCTCATATTACATATTTTAATTGCAAGATTAATGATACAAATGTACGATGACACAGATCCAAATTCCCACATAAAAGCAAGACAAAAACTGCAGTCTAAAATAACAATTACCAATGCAGTTGATATAAGTGCAAAATAAGAGGTATTTTCATTAATTTGTTTTGCATTTAATACAGTATGTGAGGTAACAATAACTTACTTTATTCAATATAATTTGCATTGTTTCTAAGCCCATGAAAGTGAGTTCTTAGTCTTAGTCTTTTTCCTGTGTACTTGCTTACAGTAGTGTTTTCCTTCATTCTGAACATTTACAAGCTGACTTTTAGAGATTTGCTTTCCTCCAACATGCTCTGTAGAAGACATCAACCATTTTCCTAACTACTGGTCTTCTCTGGCACAGCAGTCCTTTCTCATGTATACTTGTTATAATGGGGAGATGGCTTTAAATAATTTGAGGCAGGAAGAGCCATTTCCAGCTTGTAGCCAGAGCTGAAATGAAATCTCTCATCATAAAGTATACCCAAGATTTGCTGTGTAGCACCATTAAGTGTTACCTTCACATGAATCCCAGAGCAATAGTCTCAGAAGTATATCTACAAACATGTCTTCCTGCTCAGTCCTAATGGAACCATGCAGAACAGATTCCCAAACTTTCTGTGAGCTCTACTGGCTTACTCAAAGTCTCCAACTCTATTTCACCTTAGAGGACTGGGAGGCTTGAAAAAATGTTATTTGTCTTTCTATCTTTCCTATGACTCTACCTCCCAATGTCACCAGTACCTGTCAAAATGCCTCCAGGCTTTCACCTCCCTGCCACCACCATTAGATATATAAAATAATGATTAGGAGTGCATTGGGAAAGGGCTCCTTTTAATAATAAATACCAATCTAGATGTAATCGCTTAAGGATTTGATGTCCAATTTTAATCTAAAAAATTATTTATAGTTAATAAATAATATTTATGTTTTAATATTTTAAAATACATATATTTTCTAATGTCAAAACCCAATGTCTATAGGTTTTCAATATGTAAATAGAAAAAATGTTACCTAAAAGAAATCCTACACCTTGAATTTATGTCCTAAGGGCTTTCTTTACCATTAAGGGTGAATGTTGACAACAGAATAACATCCTTGCTTTATTATAAAATTCACAAATTATAAAAGGTTCTAGCCAGACATTCAACCATTTGTATAATAGTTCAACTCATCACTGAAAAACTTGCCTCATTGTAAAAATAGGGCAAAAAGGCAGAAAATGATTATTTTTACTTTTTCATAGCAAGAAAATATGGATGTTGGAAAAAATAGAAGTTAAAGAGTGGAGGGGAAAGCAAAAGGGGGAAAAGGGAATAGAGATCCAAGTATATAAAAAGAAAGTTCTATGTGGATGATAACATAAGAAAGTTTATTAATTTGATGTGAACCTAGAAGAGAGAATATCAGTGAGAAAGGGGTATATTGTTTTGAAGAAGGCAGTGACATAATATATGTACATGTGACTATCAAAGCTAAACATACATATACCCTGTGACACAGAAATTCTACCCCTGGATAAATATCCAACACAATAAGGCTCGTACAAGAATGTTCATAACAGCTTTGTTTATAATAGGCAAAAACTGGAAACCATCCAAATATCCATCAACAATAGATAAATTGATTCGGGTGTACCCAGACAATGGACTATTACACAGCAATAAAAACGAATGAACTACTGATACATGCAATAACACTAATTAATCTCACAGATATCACGAGTGAATGAAGTCAGATGCCAAAGGTTCTTTGGTGTATGGTTGCATTTATACAAAGTTCAAAAGCCAGAAAACTCATCTACAGTAATGGTCAGAGTAGTGGTTACCTTTGAGGGGTACTGACTGGGAGGGGCATGAGGATACTTCTGAGATACTGGAAATATTCAAAATCTTGATTTGAATGGTGGTTATGTGGTTGTTTATATATGTAAAAATTAATATTGCTATGTACCAAATATTTTTGCCCTTAAGTGTAGGTTATATATCAATAAATAATTATAATATGAATACGCTACTTAAAAGCTAAATGACTCCAAATACAGAAGATGGTATTCAAAATATCTGCTTACCAGTATATCATGAAGTTTGTCCCATCAGAAGGCTCAACCAAACAAAATGTCTGCCATGAGTCAACTGTTCTCCAGAACAGACAGAAAGTCCAGCCAAAAGAGACAGCAATTCTAGCTGTAGAAACTCTCCTTCACAAGGTTGCTTAGTTCATACCTCCACTGACAATTTCCTCAGAACTCTATATTTATTTATCCTAGTTGACATTTTCTTTAAAACTGAAAATGTCCGGCCTTTTGTTTTTATTTCAAACTCCTTAATTCCCTGTCACCATTGTTTCTTCAGGCTCTCACACAAACGCAGGCTTTCTCAATATTCTCTAAAATTAAGAAATCATTTAGCATTGAAGAGCTCTGCTTAAACTCCACCTTATCTGTCACATTAAGTTAAATCGTACCCCATGAGTATTTAAAGGAAAAACTTGGTTTCATTTCCAACTCCATCATGTACTAGTTTACCTGTCTAAGCATGTGTCCTCATCTTTACTCTTTTTTTTTTTTTTCAATTTTTACTGTTATCAAATGCAAGTCTGGTGGTCATGACAAGTTCAGTTGAAGAGCTTCTTATAAAAAGTCGTCTGTTACTTTTCTTTCTACCCTCTGTTTCACTGTCCTGGATGTGAGCTGTTTATATTTGTCTGCTTTTTATTTCTCCTGGTGCCTATCTCAAAGTTTATCGGCTTATACCTTGTTTTTTTTTTTTTTTTAAATTTATCAACTTTAGGCCAGGCGTGGTGGCTCACTTTTGTAATCCCAGCACTTTGGGAGGCCGAGGCCAGTGGATCACCTGAGGTCAGGTGTTTGAGAACAGCCTGCCCAACATGGTGAAACCCTGTCTCCACTAAAAACACAAAAAATTAGCCAGGCGTGGTGGCGGGCACCTATAATCCCAGCTACTCAGGAGGCTGAGGCAGGAGAACCGCTTGAACCCCGGAGGCGGAGGTTGCAGTGAGCAGAGATTGATCGCACCACTGCAATCCAGCCTGGGCAACAAGAGCAAAACTCCGTCTCAAAAAAAAAAAAAATCAACTTTTGACTGCATTTTTTCAATTTTCTGATTGTGCAGCACCTTAAGATACCCTTACTATGTCTGGTGAACTTCCAGGCATGAGAATCCTACAAGATAAAAATAAGAAATCTCAGTCCCCCAGCCTTTGCAGGCATGGGACGTGCTAGGGGACAAATACGTGACTTCATTTTATCCAGTCTGACTCAGCAGTATGAGAGCTTGATTTGGAAGTAAGTGACTTGAGGAAATGGGCGTCAGTTTTTCAGTTGTGTGGGTTGGCACAGCAGTGGAATGGAGTGGGGAGCTTTGAAGGCATCAGTAATGCTGGTTTTCTTCAGTATTCAGTAAGGCAGTCACCATGATAGAAATTTCCTTATTAGATTAGTTTTGCTTTGTGGTATTAGACATTGTTCCTGGAATCCCAGACTTGGTTATATTACTATCTCCTCAATTATGCCTGTTTCCTAATACTCTTTTAACAAATTTCTTTCCTGCTACTCAGCTAGAGTTAGTTACTATTATTTGTATTAATATATGAATAAATCAACTGCCTCTTCAATATGAATGATGAGGTTTTAGGTCAATTACCCTATATCCATCCTCTACCTTCCTTCTCTCTGCTAGATAATCATGTTGTTATTTTAATTATTTTATTAATGATCTATGTAATTGTTTCCATCAATTTTCATCAGTCTCCCTCGTTTTCTTGCTTTCTAATTGGAAGATATTAACATCCCTCCTCTTTCCTCCACTTTCATCCAACCCAGACCTCTTCCAGCTATCACTTCTCAACTTGCATCAGCTTCACTTTTATTTTTATCTTGTCAGTTAATATTCATATTCTGTTTTGCAACCAGATCCTAGACTTCTTTGCTTTGTTTGTAGGTTGACCCTAAAAGTTAGAAGACATTGCCTGGGTTATTTTAAAATTTTGTGAGTATAATCAGACCATGGAGAGTGTTAGCATTACTTTTCTTCTCTTTGAAACCAATATCATGACCTCTGTACTACATATGGGAGACTGTTACTAGCATCAGACCCAATGGATTACTATTTCTTACCTCCAAATAATTGCTTAAAATCTTATCACATTTCAATTTGCTTAATATTTGAATGATGACTTTGTTTTATCTTTATATTATTTGTCTTTATACCATTCTTAATTACTTTCCATTTTTAGTCATACTTTTTATTATGTTAGGTTGTTTCTGTTTTGGGAGGTTTGTTTCTTGTTTTTTTTTTTTTTCTTAACAGAGCATCATCATTTTGTCACAGCCTAGATTATTTGTCTTCTAGGTCTGCTAATAAGCCGCAAATAGGGGACTTCTTTGCTTTGCTTTCCTATAATGAATTTACTCTTTCCTGGATTACCTAATCTTCCAATGTATTGATTTACTCTCTTCTTTTATAGAATTCAATCAAATAACCTTCTACAAAATGTTAATGATAGATAAAGTTTAAATTCCTTGTGTGCCTGAAAGGATTATTGGTTGAATAATAATAATAATAATATAGTAATTTTCTGGGTGGAAAATAACTTTTCTTCAGAACTTTTAGACATCACTATTACATCATTCTCTAGTAGACATCCACTTTTGCTGATGCCAAACTGAAGCCACTGTTTCTTATCCCTTTATAAGTGACTTGTCATTTTTCTCCGGATGCTTTTAGAGTCATCTCTTTATCTTTGATAGCCTACAGTTTTAAAAAGTTAAGGCTATGTGTATATCTTTATTCATTTATTGGACTGAACGCTTGATGGGCCTTTTCAGTCTTAAGACTTATGTCCTCTAGTTCTGGGAAATTTTCTTCCATTATGTTTTTGATAATTTCCTCCTCTTAGTTTTCCCTGTTTTCTCCTTATGGTAATTCTATTAGTGGAATATGAGATCATTACATCTCTTATCTTTTCCCTAAATTATTTTGTTCCCTTAAAAACTTGTGTTTGTTTGTTTTTTCTCCTTAGTACTGCTCTCCTTCTCTCTCATATATGTTGGTGATTCCAGATTGTTCACTTTTATTTAAACAAAAGGATGGTATAGCTGATGTCCAACGGCTGGACCACTGTCAAAAAAAGAGGGTTATACATAATGCACAATTTTATTGATATGCCAAACTAATCTCTGGTGTGAGAAGTCAATGAAATTGTTTACTTTTGGTGGTGTGGACACTGGGAAGCATGGGGAACTTCTAGGACACTGTGTTTTCCATTTCTTGGTCTAGGTGCTGGTTACAGAGTTATAGGCCCTTTGAAGGAATTTATCAGCAGTGGTGTTATGATTTGTTCAATTTTATATATATATTTGTACTTAAATAGGGAGGTTTATGGGGGTAAAAGCTGGTATAATGTATAAGGAACAAATGGAAATGAGAGAAAGCAAGAAAGCAGGAAGGAAAGAAGACAAAAATGCAAATATGGCTTTCCTTTTTCTTCCTTTCTTCCTCCCTTTCCTCCCTTTACTCCCCTCCCCTCCCTCCCTCCCTCCCTCCCTTCCTTCTTCCTTCCTTCCTTCCTTCCTTCCTTCCTTCCTTCCTTCCTTCCTTCCTTCCTTCCTTCCTTCTCTGTCTTCTTGGGACGGAGTTCCCTCTGTCACCAAAACTGGAGTACAGTGGCGCCATCTTGGCTCACTGCAACCTCTGCCTCCTGGGTGCAAAATCGATTTCAAGCGATTCTCCTGCCTCAGCCTCCTGAGTAGCTGGGATTACAGCTGCTCTCCAGCAAGCCCTGGCTAATTTTGTAGCAAATGTTATTTTCTATGGGGAGTCCTACTGAACTCTGCTTTCTGATTTGGAAGTTCTTCTTTTGTGTTCCCATAGGATCTTTGCATATCTGAATCATAGAAATTTTAGCCTTGATTACAATTATCCATTAATGTGTCTCTCCTGTCCTCTAGAACATCACTGCCCAATAGAAATATAATATAAGCCATATGTAAAATTTACATTTTCTGGTAGCCATGTCAAAAAAAGTAAAAAAGAAACAGGTAAAGTTAATTTTCATAATAAAATATAATAATTTTAATAATAAATTTTATTTAATCCAGCATGTCCAAAATATTATTTTACCTGTTGTTAACATAATAAATTATTGGATTTTTTTTTTTTTTTTATAAAACGAAGTCTTTGAAACCAGTGTGCATTTTGCACTTAGAGTACATCTCAATTTGAGGTGGCCACTTTTCAAGTACTCGATAGCCACATGTAGCTACTGGTTATTATAATGGTCAATGCAGCTCCAAAATGAAGCACAATGACAGCAGTGACTATTTCTTCTCTTTACAAGTTCAGTACTGTAACTCACATACAAGAAGTGCAGAATAAATATTCATACAGGAAGTGCTGAATAAATATTCCTTTTCACTGTCTCTGTAGATGTATAAAAAACAGTTATAATACTTCATCTAAATCTTAATTCATTTACTGCATTTTGAGATTTACCATGAGCTAGGCCTTGTGCTAGATGCCATGGATTAGCACGCGGTATAAACTGGAAAATGGATCACAAAGTGATCTGGCCAATTATGGCTAAAGCTTTATAAACATTCTAGAGAAGAGAAAATTAAAGTTAATGTAAGACATGTGTGCAATTGTATTTATCATGTTTATTGCTAAACGTTTTGTGATTCCTATTAATTCTAGTAAAGTTGTTAAAAGCATAAACTTTGGCATCAGATAGACTTGGTTTTAATTCACTGCCAGCAATTTTTAGCAGAAATTAGGTTTACTTGCTTCTAAAACAGGAATAAAATTTATACTATATCTTTGAGTTCTCAAAAGGGTTAAAAGGCATAGCACATATAGAGCTTCACATAGTGCCTGGCATATAAAAAACACTTAATGAAAGTTCACTTTTATCATTGTCGTGTCATAGGGTAAGTCAATATTCTATCAGCCATTATGTTTTTATCATCATAAAAAGTCTGATTTAAAAAACACTTTTGGACTGGGCGTGGTGGCTCATGCCTGTAATCCTAGCACTTTGGGAGGCCAAGGTGGGCGGATCACCTGACGTCAAGAGTTCAAGACTAGCCTGGCCAACATGGTGAAACCCTGTCTCTACTAAAAATACAAAAATTAGCCAAATGTGGTGGTGGGTAGCTGTAATCCCATCTATTCGGGAGGCTGAGACAGGAGACTCACTTGAACCTGAGAATCAGAGGTTCCAGTGAGCTAAGATCATGCCACTGCACTCCAGCCTGGGCGACAAGAGCAAAACTCCATCTAAAAAAAAGAAAGAGATGTATCTGGCCTACAAACAAATTAGAATAATTGAGACATTTCCAGGCAACATCTATATGCCCAGAAAGAAACTCTAGTAATCAACTCCCTTATACATCCTATATTTGTTTTCTGTGGATTCTATGACAAAGTACCACAAACTGGGTGGCTTAGAACAACAGAAATGTATTGTCTCACATTTCTGGTGGCCAGAAGTTTGAAATCAAGATGTTGATTGGGCTATGATCCCTTTGAAAGCATTAGAGGAGAATCTGTTCTAAGTCTCTCTGCTAGTTTCTAGAAGTTTCTTGGGTTGCAGCAGCAAAACTCCAGTCTTCATATGATATTCTCCCTGAGCATTTGTCTCTAATGTTCAAATGTACCCTTTTTATAAGAACACAATCATAATGGATTAGAGGTTCCTTCTATTTCAGTATGATCTCATCCTAACTAATCTGCATCAACCCAATTTCCAAATAAGGTCACATTCTTGGGTACTGGGTCTTAGGGCTTTAACATGAATTTTGGGAAGACACACTTAAACCTGTACCATTCCCCTATAGAATGGAGCCCATTCTTTTTTTGTGTGCTGTTCTCTCCCAAGATTATTCTGAGTTAATTCATAAAGTATACTTGGGCTAGCACATATCAGATCAGCTGGGGTCCACTACAGAAAACTAAATGTAGTACCTGTAAGGAAAAGACCTCAAAGATCTTTCTACTCCTACAATAGCCATTTAGTAAGAGCAGAAAAAGGGAGGTTTAATAGGAAGGAATGAGCCAACAAACCTTTAGTACACTCTTCTATAGAGATCAGGTTGTGTCTGTTATTACAATCAATGGCATTCACAGAAAAGAAATATATGAACTTGTTTTATATACTTGCCTCATGAGTAAATATAGTCTGTTGTTGGATGACAAACTTCATGAACAAAATTGTGTGATTTTGTATATATTATTTACAGGTGAAAATGACCCCAAAAAATCCATCAGCTGTATTCTCTTGTGAAATTAAATTACTAGATTCTTACTGTGTAGGAGAAGGAGAAAAACACGAGTGAAAGAACAAGACAATTAACAGAAACAGGGCTAGATACTTTCTTTTCTTTTTCTGCATAAGGCAATGCTGAGCCAGAAGTAAATGTTTACATTGTTACTTCCACAAAAGTTGTTTTTTGTAGTGCAATTTGGAGTGAGAAAACCTAATTTCAAAATTTAGTATTTTTCTTAATAAATCAGTGACTTTGGCCATTAAACTTAAGCATTTTGTGCCTTAGTACGCTCATCTGAAAATAGAAATAGGAGTATTTACTTCACAGTGCTAAACATGTTAGTTATTATTCCTGTTAGAAAGAAATATAATCAATGAAGTAGAAAAAGTAACTGGAACTACAGCAAGAGAATAGCATGGTGTATATCAGCCTGTAACTACAACGAATAGAATGTTGATGGGCAAATATTTCTTCTGGAAATATTTGTGGAAACAGGATTGCAGGAGTTGAGCAAGGAGGTTCTGAATATGCAGGCTGGGATCAGGACAGTAATTCTGAATTATTATTTTGTATGACTATCTCTGCATGCTAGCAATTATTGCTTGCACTTGGCAAAAATGGTAATTAATGCTGTTTCTTCTCCACACACATTCCCTTCATAGATAGGGTTGGTGATGGCAGCATATGGCTCTAGAAAAGCTTTCAGTAGTTATTGTGCAGGCTTGTAAGGTCGAAGTATTCATAGGAGCTTTGTCTCAACTTACAAAGATAAGAATCCATTTCATTCTCAATAAGACATTGATAAAATATCGGCCGGGCGCGGTGGCTCACGCCTGTAATCCCAGCACTTTGGGAGGCCGAGGCTGGCGGATCACGAGGTCAGGAGATCGAGACCATCCTGGCTAACACGGTGAAACCCCGTCTCTACTAAAAATACAAAAAATTAGCCAGGCATGGTGGCGGGTGCCTGTAGTCCCAGCTACTCAGGAGGCTGAGGCAGGAGAATGGTGTGAACCCGGGAGGCGGAGCTTGCAGTGAGCAGAGATCGCACCACTGCACTCCAGCCTGGGCGACAGAGCGAGACGCCGTCTCAAAAAAATTAAAAAAAAAAAAAAAAAGACATCCGTAAAATATCTCACTACAGTCAGCCCTTGGTATCTGCAGGGCTCTACATTTGTGGATTCAACCAATTATGGATCAAAAATATTTTGAAAAAACCCCAAACAATAAAAAATAACAATAGAATACACATTTTGAAAACACAGTATAACAACTATTTACATACCATTTACATTGTATTATTGGGAATTATAATTAACCTGGAGATGATATAAAGTATATGATAGGCTATGCACAGGATATATGTAAATACTACACCATTTTATGTAAAGGATTTGAGCATATGAGGATTTTGGTTTTCGTGGGGGCCCTGGAACCAATCCCCCATGGATACCATGGCGCCACTGAATATATCAGGAAGGAATAATTATTTTTTAGAATTGCAAGATCCATCAGCTGCCAGCAGAGCTGAAAATGACAACAAACCAGTTTCTAGTTGGGCTACAGTTTACTCATCTCTAAAACAGGATGAAAACATGCGCATACACATGAAGACTCATACAAACATTAAATGTTTTAATACCTCTGAAATGGTACATAGTAAACACAAGCAAAAGGAAATTGAGGGAATAAAAACAAAACGTACTCCCTGAATGGAAATTGTTCTATTTGTTTGAAATGATAAGGAGGTATTCAAGTATTCACGATGACAGCGTGGAAAAATAGCGGAAGCCTCATAGTTCTCATACACCATTAGAAACTCATAATTTCAGCATTAAATTATAGTGCCCCAGAATGTCAGAACCATTAGCATCTTAGAAATCTTTCATCTCTAAGAGTTTTCTTTTTGGCAATTGATTGATGTCTCTTTGCTTATGGGTAGAATTTTTTTGCCTCAGATTGTCTTTTTTCCTTTATTTTCTTATAGAAGTCCTGTTTAATCTTTCAAGGATCAGCTTCATGTCAACACCTCTCTAAATTCTTCTTTTAACACAAGAGCCACTAAATGTACGTGGTATCCCTCAGAATTAATAGACTGTTGTTTAAAATCCCATATTACCTTGCTTACCAATTCTATTAGGATGAAATTTTAACTCTTTACCTGGCTGGCCCCAGAGGCTCTCCTGATTCCATTTAGCCGTTAATACCCATGCCCCCATGCAGTGGTTCAGCCTATGCACTTAACATTCTGATTTTCAGTTCCTCTTCTTTTCTGTCAACTAGCAACCCCTTCTTTCTTTTTGTTTTGAGCTCAGCAATTCATCTCTTTTAAAGTTATGTTTTATACAGCATTTTTAGATGTTACTAGCAAGTTTTTTTCATATTATCTGAGTCTGCCATCTTGCCAGAGCTGCTACATTTGCTCAATGTATAACTCTTTGTTATTAAGTATCTGCTTTTCAACCACAGCAACAAAACACTTATTTCTCAAAGGTGGCATTAGACTACCTGAAAGAAACAAGTGTTCATAATCATACTTTATTCACTTCTTAACATGTCATTTATTAAAACAACGTGCACCTAGGTTGCATCCAAAAGCTAACTCCGGTGATATGTCAATTCCAGTGCCTCTTAACATCACCTCTCTTTCTGCCTCAAACCACAGATGATATTGTGCCCCTGTCCAAAATATGTTTGCACTTTGCATGTATTATCCAAGGTATTTACGAGAATTAAAGAGCTGTATGTAATTAGCAGTAAAGGAACCCTAGTTTGCCCTGTTTATAGTGTATCTGGATCCTGAGTCATGTGATAAAATTATTTGCTTTAGTTTGGAGACCCAGATAATGAGTATGCCTTTCTGCTGCTGCTTAGTAGAATTAAGGTGCAGCCTTCCCCATTTGTGAAGGTAGGTTTACTACAAGTGATTAATAATGAATAAAAGACAGCAATTAAATGCAATAAGATTAATTACAACTTTTTGAAGAAATTGGATCTGGTGTTAATTTGGTGATCAATAATAGCACTTGGAATTCTATTTAGCTTTATAATTTAACTTTCCAGCTACCGTTCACAATTAAACCAATTTATGAGAGACAATTGTTCCCATGTGAAAGATGTAGCTGTTCTAGAAATTGTGAGTGTACTGTTTATCTTTTCAGATTCAACAAGCTCTTGATTATGTTCCATAAATAGCCACATTCAATTAATTTTTCTTTTATTCTCAGATTTAACCTGAAGGTCTCATACAAACTTAACCTAATAAAAATTACAATATGTACAAGAGAGAAAAAATAAAACATATTGTTGGGTGGGATGTTTACTCATGCTAAGATAGTATAAGATAGTATAGATGATATTCCACCAATATAAACTATTAGAACGAGTGAAATACCATCCAATTTTCTTATTCTAGAATACTGAAAATAATTCTATTCACTCTCTCTGAAGTTTTTTTATCTTTCCTCCCCATTTTCCTTTTCTTATAATGTCCCTTTTACAAATAGAGGTCAGATATCCTTGTGTACTTTATAAACTATGAATATTATTTGAAATATAATTTATCTGATATGAAGTAGTTTATGTTATATCTTATATTTAAAATAAAATGTAGATTCAAAAAGGAAGGTACGCAAATTACAAGTATAAAAATGATTGCCAATAAAATCTGTAGCAGTTATAATATGTATTATTATGTAGCAAATACATAATAATACATATTATAGACATGGAGTCTTGCTATGTTGCCCAGGCTGGTCTCAAACTCCTGGCTTCAAGTGATCCTCCTGCCTCAGCCTCCCAAGGTGCTGGGATTACAGGTGTGAGTCACTGTGACAGATCTAGATGTAGCATTTTTAAAATTTGTATTTTAGAGAAAATGAAGTAGAAAGAACATTAGGTAACTCAATCCCTCACTACTCAAGGTGGTGGCACAGGGTAGTAATGATGGTGGAGTGATTAGAGAAACTGTTGGACTTCTCTGGGACCTAGTTTGGGGAGGGAACTGCCAGCCTTCCAGAAAAGCCATGCATCCCATGTGGCAATTGATTCAACGTGGTAGGGGAATAATGATGGCATGTGCAGAGGGACATATTTAGATTGATGGCAAAGGCAGTATTTTCAGTTGCTTGTAGGCTGTGAAGCATGCAGAATATCCAGGGGACACTAGGAAGGTTCAAGAGTGCTGAGCAGCAGGTGAATCTGAGGAATCCTGTGGTTGAGATGACCAGATGCAGCAATACAGACCCTACAAACCAAGGCAATGGCAGCACCATGCACTGGTGCTAGCACATGCCCATATGCTAGGCACTACCAGTTTTACTATCACCAAATGCTGTAGGAAAAGAGGCCAGTGCCAGAGATATAAAGGATGAACTAAATCAACTAGGAGCCCACACAGAAGAGACATCCGCACCTCCATTGCATGAAGGAGTCAGAGTCCATTCTTGCTCAGATAGGAGAAGAGGGTATCCCTAATAGGGAGTTTGCACTTTGAGCTGACTGATTATTTACTCTCTTCGCCATGAAATAGACTGTTTAAATCTAAAATGCTTGAGTGCTAATGGCACTGAGATCTTCTCTTAGAGTCTTACCTCTCATTTGGTCCTACGCTCCTGTCCTGAAGTCATCAGATTGAACAATAGTTCCAGTTAGTGATTAGTTAAGTTACGGAAAACAACTAAAAATACATTCTTTGGCACATCTGAGCTGAAATGAGTAAATATCTACTCTTGTACATTATATCTTAATATCTTTCTCTCATCTATTTTTATGAAAGCCTCAGGTAGCACATAGGTGACACAGATTGAAAAAGAAATAATTTTACGTGGTCACATTCCTTTGTGCAGGCAAATATCCACTCAGCACTCTTAGATGGTTTTCAGGAAGGACAGACTTCTCCTGCCAATGGTGGTCAAAGGCTGTCATTTGCACATCACATCATCAAAGCTTCTAGGGGAAAATGATGTCCTTCTCCATAAATTTCTCATGTTGCTAAGTTTTTCTTTTGGTGCAATTCTTTCTTCTTCACTGGGTCTTAACGTCCTTTCCTTAAAGGCAATATCTACTTTTGGGGCAAATCTCAAAATCTATATATATTTTTAAAAAGGACACGGTACAGCAAGAAATAGCACTCTCTAACAGAGGTTATTTGTCTTGCTGAAAAATAATTTAGTTCTACCAAACTTTAAACAAATGAATTTCTAAGTCCTCACCCGAATATAAATAGTTTTTTATTTTTCAAATGAAATGAGAAAATGAGTTACAATTTGGTAACATTAAGTCACTATGTTTCATAAAGCTATGCTTCTCCATAATTTCCAAGATACAATTACATAGGAATTATTTCTCCTAATAAATGTTAGTGTTGAAAATAATTAATTATGTAGGAATTGTTTTAGTTATTAGGATTCAAGGTTTCATATAGATTATGTATGTATGTGTGTGTGTGCACGCACACGTGTTCATAATACATGTCCATCTATATGTGTGTGTTTGTATGTATCCAAGTTAAAAGCTTGTTTTCATTGTTTTTAGTGGCTTATATATTTTTCTGAAATAGGGCTATCTCTCTGATGAGAAATACAAGGATTCAAATTGGAGAGGCTAGGCTTTAGAGACAAGCAAACCTGGGTTGAAGCCTGGTTTCAGCTAGCTGTACAAGCTGAACAAGTTGTGCAGTTTCTTTGAGCCCTTCAATTTCTGGATCTCTAAACTACATGGCAAGGCATGACAATAAAAATGTTAGCACCGTCGTGCTGTCATGAGGATTAAACATGGCGCTGTAATTAAAGTGTTTCACGCAGTGCCTGGCATAAAATAGCTTCTTAATAAAAGTTACTCTCTTAGAGACTAAAGTTTCAGATTTCATGTACCATTAAAGTGACAAGCTTTTGTTTCAGAATAGATAACCTTGGCTTCCCATAATGTTTCATCTCTGCATTTTATCAACTATTTTTATTCTTGTTCATCATTTGACCCCAAACATATTGTTTATGGTATACCTTTCTATTACAGCCACTTTTTAGGGCTTTCTCTATTTAGGCAATTCATTCTGACTTAAGATGGAGAGGTGCAACATCAGTTTATTAAGTTTTGGGTGTAAAAGTTATCCTTGTAACCACTTTAGAATTAAAATCTGACTAATTAAGATAATTGGTGAATGAATTTGTAGATGAAATTGGGAAACCCTAAGCTACAACCTGGACAGGAAGTAAAACATTTAGTGTCATCTATGTTTTACTCATAGCTAATACTCATGTTTATTGAACAAGTGTCTTAGAAAGTTTTAAGATGTTCACGTTTCCATACTAGAAGAAAGACATTTTTTTTTCAAAAGCCAGCTATACTTACAAAAATGTAAGTTGGCAAATATGATTCATAAGCAATGTTCCAAAAATAACAATGAGCACCAAAAAGAACTGGGATACCCTCTGGCTCGTACACTAACCTGTCTTGTGACCTCAGACAACTTATGTACCATCCCAGGTCTCAGTTCAAAATTGTATAAAAGAAAACTCGTAATCTCTAGAATTTTCCAATTTGTGCTCAGCTTCTACACATATATATCCTATGCAAAGCAAATAACACGTATTAACCACTACAACTAGCATAGTTTTGGCTGACACCCCACTTGAAATGATCTTTAATGTTCTGTGGGCTTCAAGCCGTATGCAGGTAGATAGAGATTAAAGGAGAGCTCTAACAGGGCTAGTATTAGCCTTTCTGGTAAGAATTCTACCCACAGTATGCACAGGAGTCCAGTCCCTAGCTTCTATATGCTGTGAACACTGAGTTAGCAGGGATCAGATCTGCTAACTTATTGTTGATGTCCCCAAAACATTTTGTAATGGTTATCATAAAGTAGGTGATGAATAAATGTTTGTTGAATGAATGGTAAAACGTCTCCTCTGTGAATAAGGATATCTAGTTACAAGGAAGTTTCCACTGCAGTTTGTTGTGCATTATCTAAACAAAATGGAACACAATAGTACAAAAATACATGCTGAACCTATTAGGAATGGACTGTGATTTTTCCTGGAGATAGAAAATCATAGCCCTGAAAAACTGGGTGGAACAAACATGTTGTAGATTATTTTTATGTGACATGGTAGAGTAGAAATAAGTAACAAAAACAACACTTAACCTAGCCTGGAAGGAGGTTCTGGCAACGTGCTTTAGAGGATGTGATTTTGCCCTCCCCCTCCCCCTCCACCTCTCCCTCCCTCTCCCTCCCCCTCCCTCTCTCCCTCCCTCTCCCCTTTCTTTCTACCGTCTCCCTCTCTTGCCAAGCCTGGACTGTACTGCCATGATCTCAGCTCGCTGCAACCTCACCTCACTGCCTCGGGCTCCCGTGATTCTCCTGCCTGGGCCTGCCGAGTGCCTGGGATTCCAGGCACGCGCTGCCGCTCCTGACTGATTTTTGTATTTTTGGTGGAGATGGGGTTTCGCCGTGTTGACCGGGCTGGTCTCCAGCTCCTGGCCTCGGGTGATCTGCCCCCCTCGGCCTTCTGAGGTGCTGGGATTGCAGACGGAGTCTCGCTCACTCAACGCTCAATGTTGCCCAGGCTGGAGTGCAGTGGCGTGATCTCGGCTCGCTACAACCTCCACCTCCCAGCCGCCTGCCTTGGCCTCCCAAAGTGCTAAGATTACAGCCTCTACCAGGCCGCCACCCCATCTAGCAAGTGAGCAGCGTCTCTGCCTGGCCGCCCATCGTCTGGGATGTGAGGAGCCCCTCTGCCCGGCCACCCTGTCTGGGAAGTGAGGAGCACCTCTGCCCGGACGCCCCGTCAGGGATGTGAGGAGCGCCTCTGCCCAGCCGCCACCCCATCTGGGAAGTGGGGAGCACCTCTGCCCGGCTGTCTCATCTGGGATGTGAGGAGCGCCTCTGCCCGGCCGCCCCGTCTGGGAGGTGAGGAGCGCCTCTGCCCGGCCGCCCCGTCTGGGAGGTGAGGAGCGCCTCTGCCCGGCCGCCCCATCTGGGAGGTGAGGAGCGCCTCTGCCTGGCCGCTCTTCGTCTGGGAGGTGAGGAGCACCTCTGCCCGGCCGCCCCATCTGGGAGGTGAGGAGCGCCTCTGCCCGGCCGCCCCATCTGGGAGGTGAGGAGCGCCTCTGCCCGGCTGCCCCGTCTGGGAAGCGAGGAGCGTCTCTGCCCACCCGCCCATTGTCTGGGAAGTGAGGAGCACCTCTGCCCGGCCGCCCATAGTCTGGGAGGTGAGGAGCGTCTCTGCCCGGCCGCCCATCGTCTGAGAAGTGGGGAGCGCCTCTGCCCGGCCGCCCATTGTCTGGGAAGTGAGGAGCGCCTCTGCCCGGCCGCCCCGTCTGGGAAGTGAGGAGCGCCTCTGCCCGGCCGCCCCGTCTGGGAAGTGAGGAGCATCTCTGCCCACCCGCCCATCGTCTGGGAAGTGAGGAGCACCTCTGCCCAGCCGCCCATAGTCTGGGAAGTGAGGAGCGTCTCTGCCCACCCACCCATCATCTGGGAGGTGAGGAGCGCCTCTGCCCGGCCGCCCATCATCTGGGATGTGAGGAGCGCCTCTGCCAGGCTGCCCCACCTGGGAGGTGTACCCAACAGCTCCGAAGAGACAGCGACCATCGAGAACGGGCCATGATGACGATGGCAGTTTTGTCGAAAAGCAAAGGGGGAAATGTGGGGAAAAGAAAGAGAGATCAGATTGTTACTGTGTCTGTGTAGAAAGAAGTAGACATAGGAGACTCCATTTTGTTCTGTACTAAGAAAAATTCTTCTGCCTTGGGATGCTGTTAATCTATAACCTTACCCCCAACCCCGTGCTCTCTGAAACATGTGCTGTGTCAACTCAGGGTTGAATGGATTAAGGGCGGTGCAAGATGTGCTTTGTTAAACAGATGCTTGAAGGCAGCATGCTCTTTAAGAGTCATCACCACTCCCTAATCTCAAGTACCCAGGGACACAAACACTGTGGAAGGCCGCAGGGACCTCTGCCTAGGAAAACCAGAGACATTTGTTCAGGTGTTTATCTGCTGACCTTCTCTCCACTATTATCCTATGACCCTGCCACATCCCCCTCTCTGAGAAACACCCAAGAATGATCAATAAATACTAAAAAAAAAAAAAAAAAAAAAAAAAAAAAGAGGATGTGATCTCTGGGAAGAGTCTTGAAGGACCAGCAGAATATAGACAGGTAAAGAAAGGGAGAAAGACATTCTAGGTTTAAGTAACACACCACGAATGAAGGCATGCGGTTATAAAACAGTGCTGGTCTCTTCTAGGATTTCTAATTACCAAAGACCATTTGGCAACTGGTAGCAACTTGGAAAATCTACTATATGAGTTCTGAGCAAGATGGATGTTAAGTTGTTTACCAATTAACTAGAATGTGGTAGTTAATTCCAGAGGGAATCCTAATCGAGAATCTATTTAACTGACTGCCTCTTAAGAAGGTAGAATATAGCACAGCCATGACAGCATTCAGACTAGTGTTTCTGTCAGATAAACATAATTGTTAATTTTGAATAGATCAGAATTGAGTATTTTTAAATTCCAGGACAAAAATCGTAGTCAAGTAAAGTTGGACACAATATAGAAAAGCTGATTTTTGTTGTTGACATCTATCTGCCATTGGCCCCATTAGTACACTGTTAACAATACAGGCATAGGAAGTACACATCATAGGAGTGTGTCTGAGGTTACAGGTACACTTCTGGAATGCACACTTTGTGCAAATTTTTCTGAGAATTACAATGTGAGGTTTTTGGCATTTTTCCTGTCCTGATTTGACTCCTACTCCTTGGTTTTACTGTGATGCCAGAAATACAGGTTAATTTGAGGACGTGTTACTGATAAAGGTTTGTGTAAACTTTAAGCTACTCATTCTGACATGGCCAAGTGAGACACCGACAAACATCCAGATGTCCTTAAACTTTATCTTCTCTGTACTCTGTATATAACATCCTATATTTAGTTCATTCATTTTTCTTATCACAATATTTATTCTTATTTCTTTTTGTATTCCACACTGGACTACATCCTCCTAGGGAAGAGAGACCATATCTGTCACTGCTACATTCCCTGTGACTAACCCAATCTTGGCACATCATAGATCCTCAGGAATGTTTCTATCAGCTAAAGAATGGCTGTTTTTGTACTCTCCATAACTGCATAGCAACACATGGCAGCATATAGGAGAATATTCCAAGCAGGAAATACATTACACCACAACTTTGCCTCTCACAAGGCTGCTTTGTAAAAACATCTATTACTCTGCCATCTGCCATACAACCTTTCCTTTGTTCATTTCCCAATTGCCACTTTTTAAAATAATTTCTGCCAGCTGCATCATTGCCTCCTTTCCTGCCCTTCCTGTTGAGGTGGTGATATGGTTTGGCTTTGTGTCTCCACCCAGATCTCATCTTGAATTGTAATCCCATAATCCTCACATGTCATGGAAGGAATGTGGTGATAGGTAATTGAATCATAGGGGTGGTTTCCCCCATGCTGCTTTTGTAATAGTGAGTCAGTTCTCATGAGATCTGATGGTTTTCTAAGGGGCTTTTTCCCCTTTGCTCAGCACTTCTCCTTGCTGCTGCAATGTGAGGAAGAACGTGTTTTCTTCCCCTTCTGCCATGATTGCAAGTTTCCTGAGGCCTTTCCAGCCATGCTGAACTGTGATTCAATTAAACCTCTTTCCTTTATAAATAACAGTCTCAGGTGTGTCCTTATTATTATTATTAATAGCAGCATGAGAACCAGCTAATACAGATGGGCATTATATAGGACATCTAGCCTTCTTTGCTTTTCAGATATGATGCCTTTTCAAAGCAAGACACTCCTAGGACAGAGCTTTTCTTTTCTAACATAGTTTCCTTAGATGATCCACCGAAAACCAAATTTCTCACTGTACTTGGTTTATCTCCACATTTCCTCTAGTGACTATTCCAAAACATTACTTTTCTCATATGCTGCATGCCCCTTTCTCATTCACTTTCAGGAGACAGCTTCGTATTGATCAGCAAAACAGAGCACACCTCCCTGCCTGCAAAGCCATCTGTAGTTGCAAATATCATCACATTTTCCCCTCTAGTCTTAGAAATGCCTTTCTTTCTCCTCACGGATAACTCTTTCCTTAGGCTCTTGACTCCATTCTCTTCTGTTTACCCAAGTTGTTTGCTCTACCAATTATAACACTTTCCTATAGCTTCATTGTCATACTTCCACTAGATCACTTCCCTTAGAATATATATACCTCTCATTGCTGAAAAAGGCCTCCCTTGACTCCATATCTACCTCCAGATTCTAGGCAGTTTTCCCCATTTTCCTGCCCCATTTTCAACCATCATCACACTTTTATACTCACTCTAGTGCTCAATGAATTTGAACATTTGGCTTATGCCCCTGCTACCCCACAGAAACTGCTGAGCCAAAGGTTACCTAGTTGTAATTTTCATATTAACAAATCCAAAAAAACTCTCTGCCCCAAATGATATAGAAGACCTTGATTCTTAAATATGTTAAAATTATTTGTTTTCATTATACTCTTTTTACCCCCACCCCCTATTCTTCTCACCTTTTAAAACCACTGTTTCTTGGTCTTCTTATTGGTCAATTTCTCCCCGAACACATCTTAAATTAGGATGTGTTCCTCCTGTACTGTACCCTCTCCAATTCACTTTCTACCCCTTGATTTCTCTGGGTGACCTCATCAATTATCATGGTTTTACCTACCCCCTATACAATTGCTTCAATACAGTGTCACTACCTTTGATCCCTCCTCTTGGATTAAGATAAAGAACTATCTACCATTCCAACTGGCATCACCACATAGATGTTTCAAGCAAATCAGATCCCACACTTCAAAGCTGATTTTGGGGGTTTACATACTAACTCCAGAGTTTACATACTCCAGATTTATTCCTCTCATGTATCCTCTATTACAATGTATCCTGCCATTATCTACCAAATGACTCCACAAAGAAATCTAGTGGGTTGGTACACTTCTTCTCTTTATCATTCTCTATATCTATTATCAGTCGTGATTTAATCAGAAAAATAGAGCCACAAGAAATGACAGAAAATATAGATGTATGTTAGAATTGGACTCCAAGGAATTGTGGAGACTGATTACAAAGTTGGTGTATGACTCTTCCTTCTTCATGTGGTGCTGGGTCTGGCTCAGGAAAAGCTGAAGAAAAACCAGCAGGAACTAGAGAAGCTGTGGCACCAGCAGTTGCCCAAGCCAATTAGGTAAGCCAGTATATCAACAACAGTGTGTATGCGCTACAGCCGTGCCCAGTGCCCTCAATGACATTCCCTGCATTAAATGTGTAACTACTGTTTCACACCTGTCTTCCAAATCTCACACAAAATATTTTACAATGCCCATGTTAACCTGGAACAAGGAAGTAAAGGGAATTCTGAAAAACATAATTCCAGCTTAGCTAATTGACACCATACAAACTCATCAAACTATCCAATTAGTTAACAAATCCTGCCAGTCTCTAGAATCTGTCCCTTTGACTACATCATTGCTAGAACAAACTAGTTCAATTTGGAGTAACTGCCTTCCTGGTGCAGTAGCCTCTTTACTGATTTTTTAATTTTTTATTTTTAAGCTAGTCCACACTACACCCATTAATCTATCCTTCATAGCATCACCACACTGCTCTATCTATAAAAAGGAAATCTGACAGTATTACTCAACACACACATAGGTTCCGTATCACCTAGAAAATTAAGTTCAAGTATCTTTCCTAATATAAAAACTTTTAAGATCTAGTCTCTACCTAATTCTTCAAGCCTCATGTCCATTATTCTCCTTGCCTTAAACTTGAGCAATTCCACAACATGTATAGTATCTCTGTCCCCAACACATACATATATGTCCCCAATACATTTATGAATTTGCTTATGCAGTACCTTCTTTCTCAACAACTCACCACCCCATCTTACTCCATACACCGTTAACATGGCTAAATCTTTCTTGTCCACCTTACATGCAATTTTATTTGGAAAATCTTTCATTGATCTCCATCCATTCTTCCATGAGGACTTGCTTTAGCTCTCCTTCATTTGATCTCTGATAACAACCATATTTTGGACATTTTACTTTCACAGTAAACACCATATTATTTTGAAATTTTCTATTTGTCCTTTCTACTCTTTGGAAATAGGCTCCTTTAGGATAAGGACTGAGATTTTTTTTTTTTTTTTCTTGCCAGAACTAAGATCAAGTTTGATGCATAAAAGATATTTGACTATGTTAGTTGAACCAAACTGAATTGACAATACCTTCATATCTTGCAGCAAATGTATGCCAGCACTGACCCTGTAATATCAAGGAGTGAGAAAAGAGAGAAAAATATACGACATTATCTTTTATATTCACAGAGAACTATTACCTTATCTCCTTCCA
Organism: Homo sapiens; assembly: GCF_000001405.40. Lineage (NCBI taxonomy): Eukaryota > Metazoa > Chordata > Mammalia > Primates > Hominidae > Homo > Homo sapiens. Next base: position 104,229,938 of record NC_000009.12, on the reverse strand, counting down.
ATGTATGCCTTCCAATGCTTCTCTCTAAGAAGATTTTAATGAGATGAGAAAATCTCTCAGAAAATTATAAAGATTCTACTTTCTATGAGGAGATAATGGTCTCATGAAAAATTTGTATTTTACTAAAATTCTTACATTGAAATAGATTTGGTCACTCAAGAAAATTAGCTAAAAAATAAGATTTATAGGAGTTTAATAAAGTCAGGTATGCAATAAATATATAAAATCTATAACTTTTAAATTTTATTTTATTTTATTTTGAGATGGAGTCTCCCTCTGTCACCCAGGCTGGAGTGCAATGGCATGATCTCGGCTCACTGCAGCCTCTGCCTCCTGGGTTCAAGCGATTCTCCTGTCTCAGCCTCCTGAGTAGCTGGGATTACAGGTGTGTGTCACCATGCCCAGCTAATTTTTGTATGTTTTACTAGAGACAGGGTTTCACCATGTTGGCCAGGCTAGTCTCGAACTCCTGGCCTCAAATAATCTGCCTGCCTTAGCCTCCCAAAGTGCTGGGATTACAGGCATGAACAACTGTGCCTGGCCTATAACTTTAACACTGGCATTGAATAGTTAAAAATATATTGAAACAAATAACCTTATTCCCAATCTTAATAGAGAATATCTAGAAATAAACCGAACAAGAAATATACAGGGTTTTAATGAAGAAAATGATGAAGTGTCGCTGACTTGCATAAAGGGAGATTTGAATAAATGACTTTATGAAGTTCCTGTCTGAGAAGAGTGGCTCTTTGTAAGTGATGTTAATCATTTTTATCGTGATTAATGGATTAAATGCAATTTGTTCAAAGAAAACACTTAAAAACCTTAACAAAACCATTTAAATGCTCATTTGAAAGCATTAATGAACAAGCATAGGTATGTAGATTTTGAAAAAGAAGAGTTATTAAAGGGACCCAAACCTCTCAGATATTTAAAAATGCATTATAAAGCCAAAATAATTAAAAGATTGTAGAAATGAATGAAAGTTTAATGGAATAGAAAATAGTTCTAAAGTATAAACTAATATGCATAAGAAATAAAAGATGAAGGCAGCATTTTAAATCAGTGAAGAAGGAAGCATTGTTTAATAATCTGGCCTGGGACAATGGCCTATATGTTCAGAAAGAAAATAAAATAAGCTTCTGTTTTTATTCTAAAAACCCAAATATATCCCAAATGAATGAAAGAACCACATGTTTTTTTAAAAAGAGGAAAACTATCTTATTCAGTGATTCTCAGCCAGGAGTGATTCTGAAGCTGATAAACATGCTATGACACACAGAGAATCCCCATGTAACAAAGAATTATTCAGTTTAAACTATCAGTAATGGCAATGAGGATCTCTGATCTAATAAAAAAGGCAAAGATCAATAGTGATTAACCATTCATAGTATTAGCATGAGTAACAATACAAGGAAACAAAAAGTGATGGCTTTTTTAAAGTGTAAGAAATAAGGCCTTTAGGGCAGTTTCAATTAGAATTAGTCCAGGTCCAATCAAGAAACAGAAACCATCCAGTGATTTGAACAGGAAACCTTTAATGTGAAACAATATTAACTATGATGGAGTTTGGAATCATGAGAGATTGGCCCATAAGAAGTGAAGAAAACTCTACAAAATATAGAAATAATAGACATTAGGACCAGATGTTATTGCTAGAACTGAAATAGAGAATCCAAAAATGAGGTCTGCCAAGTGCTGATGCAGACTCCTTGAAGAGGACATGGCTCACTGGATGGCAGAGAAGTGCTGCAGTGTTATGCCTGTGGAACACGCTAAAAATCTGTTCTCTAAATTTAAGTAGTTAGGGTCTATACACCAGCTAATCCTAAATTACAATGGTAGAGTTTTCTTCCTTAGTATTCCTTACCTGTCACAAAGACTAGTTAGGAGCCATGACAGATTGCAATCCCTGATGGACTCCTCATACTGACATTTAGAATCTAGTCTTCTCCCCAGTTTCTGTTTCCAGACCCTTGTGATGATCAGGTGCATTTTTTGCTATTGAGTTGTGTGAAATTGTGAAATACTTCTGTGTCCTTATGATCCATTCCCATTTTTGCTTAAGCAGAGAAAGAGGGAGAGAAAGAAACAATAAAAACAGGCAAATGATATAAATAAAAATGAAAGAAGAAATTCAAATGGCTAATAAACATGAAAAACCAATCAACATTTCCAATCTCTAATTCTCACCTGATAATACCTCTAAGTATTAAAGAAAGTTCTGAAAAGTTGTGCAGAGCTATAATGTTCTCTCTCACTCTTTTTAGTACCCCCTTTTTTTTTTATCTCTTATAGGTCATGATTTTGGTGGAGAATTGATATTAGATAAATTGCTCTCATATATGTAATTGTAAGTTCATTACACCATTCAGTGGTCTAGATGAAATAAAATGTAAGAGTAATGACAAGCATTTAACAATAGGAAGTCACCATGGAGCATAAAAATTGAAAAATGCAAAATAAATATCTTGTCTTCCTGAATTAATTGATCTAATCAAGAAGCATGTTGCTGTTGATGCCATGATTACTATGATGTACCCACAGGGGAAGCTAAAGCCTTTGTCTGCACTTGTGCTAAATGCTATCACAGGATTTATTATCATAGAACTGACATATTTTCAAAACAATGCATTAAAATGAACTAAAAACTGTAACCACAGAATTGAGAAATCAAGACCAAATATTCAGCATACCTAAGAGTTTTAAGTACTTAAATACGAGAAAGCCAGTATAATAAATAATGACAGCTAAGATTTTTTGAAGACTTACTAGATGCCAGGTATATTATCTGGCATAATAACTAGTATATTATCTCATTTCATCAGCTTTTGAGATTGGTACTATCATTACCTCAACACAAATGAGGGAAATGAGGCTAAAGAGAATAAGTAAGTGGTAGTACTTGGATTCAAATTCTGATCTATCTGACCACAAAACACATGCTTGTTTGATAAAATGTTAATATCCTTATGCCCATTAAATTTTATATACTTTTATTATGATTTTAAAAGTAAAACTTGTGCCTTTGGGCACAAGAAAAAAAAACAAAATTTAAAAAATACAAACAGAAAAAGCATTAAAATTTTGTCATGTTTCCTTCTAGCAGTTCACTACTGTGGGACAAAAAGTAAATGAGATGTACATACAACGGGAATCTGTGGTGATACTTGAGCAATGCAAGAAAATATAATGGAAATTGAAATCAGAACTAGGTTCAAATTTACATGGCTCTGCCATTTTCGAGTAATGTGTCCTCGATCATGTTAAAGTTGTGGCACTAAGGTTTTTTTCCTCTAAGAAAATAAAAATTAATAATGTCTATTTCTTAAGGTTTTATAGGGATCAAATGATATTTTGTATTTCTATGCTCCATACAATACATTCATTGTGATATTTAGTAAATACATATCTTCTCCATTCAGAAGAATGATTTAAATTTAAATTTACTTAAGATTTCCAGAGTTCACCTGTATGAACTTCTAGTTAACCCATGCCAAATTACTTAAATCAAAAAATCTAGAGGCTGAAGCCAAGTTCATCATGAGTTGTAAAATCATACCTAAAGGATTATGCAAGGGGCTACTAAAAATAAGTCTGGAGATATTCAGTCAAGAAAGGTTTTGTGCAGAAGAATCAGATACAGACAAGAATGAGATTTTACAGTAGGCAGAAGGAGGCAGCCAAAGAATGGTTTTTCATGCAAGAAACTGAGGACTTTTCAGGCCTGGTTCTAAGGAAAAGACTGAAGGCTTCACTATATGAAAAAAGAAAAAAGAAAAGTAAAGAAAAGAACCCAAGGTTTATATCAATCTGTTAGAATACCTGCAATATTAAATACAGTAATTTCAAAGACTTCACAGCAACATTTACATGAAAAGATTTGTATGACACATATGAAATTTTAAAAGCAGAGCATAAAATTGTATATATACTATAGTCCCAACTATATAAACTGTTGATTTATAAGGATTAGGAGTAAACAGAACCAGAAAAAAAATGAAACAGTATGTTAAGACGGTGAGATTGTTTTCTTTTTTTTTTTTGTTCAATTCTCTTTTGTTATAAAATTGTGCAGTAAATAAAAAGTTAAGAAATACTAGTCTATTGAGATGAAGGAGGGTTGAGCAAGATCACATCAGAAAAGATCAGAAAGGTGCAATCCTCACTAAGCATGCTGAGTGGGGATAGAGTTTCCAGGAAATATGCACAAGGTTATCTACTGAGCTCACTGTCCCTTACTCCTGAAGTTATGCCGGGGCAGAGAAAGAGATGAGAACCTTGAGAAGTCCTGTGGTAGGTTGAGGGCGATGAGAGATTGTTGTTTGAGACAGACCGATGGTACTGCTCGGTAACAATTTTCTGAAACTCCAGTAGGAGGCCTGTTGTTGACCAAGATTTTGACCTTTGTTAAATTTATGGAGCTGTTGTTCAAATCTCTATTTCTCAGCTTTATACATTCCTGCAGCCAGGACTTAGAACTTATTTCGTTACCAGCAGAAATAACCGTCAGCAACATAGATATTACTGAAGCTTCCACAGGGAAGGAAAAGAAGCATTTTCTATCACAGCCAGCAGCACACAACCCTCTTAAGTCGTTTTCATAAGATTCTCTAGCTTTGCTAATGGCCAGGGAGCTTTCCATCTTCACTTTTTCTCTGCTCAGTATTTAATCTGTTTAGCTCTTCTTTTCCTTGTTTCCAGATCTTTTCCTCATCTCTGAATAATTTCTTGTTTTTAGTTATGAAAAGTCAGCCTGGTTACTGCTCCAACAAGCAAACGTGCATACCCACAGACATCACCTCACTCAGCAAATAGTCTTCCAATTACCAGAAGCCACTCTTCTAGAATGGTATTAGAGGATTGAGTAATTAACATGTTTTTTCTTTTCTCACTGGCATTGGATAGTCTTCACATGTGCTCTAATTAAGCAATATGTTTTTTATTGTTTTTAACCTTGAGATGTGTTAGAGGCAGACAAAATTAAAAAACAATGCATTTAATTATCATTATTTTGAAAATGAAAATGTGTAAGGACCTTAAAGTTAAAAAGTTTGATGTTTTTAAAATGCCTCTACTATTTCCATATTCATATGCTTTATCTAGCAATGTGCATAATGGTCAAAACAAGAAGTGACATTAATCAAGAAGGGCACCTTAGTAAATTAAAGGAAAATGTTAAGCAGAGAAAACCGTCATTTGCAAATTTCTAATAAATGTGGGCATTATACAAATAAAACATTGGTAGTTATAGCATTTGATTTCTAACAAATGAATTCTGTACCCTGGTGGAAATAGTTATTGCTTTTGAGTATGCTGCAATTCATTTTTCATTGCCCAAAATTCTGTAGCCTAAAATGAGAAGGAAAGTACATCTTTCCCCATGAGGGATTGTGACAATTTCTTAATTATAATTGAGGAGCTTTCTGAAATGAATAAGTGGTATATAAATTATATAAATCTATATTCACCTTCCGGGTAAGGAGAAAGTGGAGCTTATTCACCTTCAGGGAAAGGAGAAAGTGTTATTTTTAGACAAAGGATAAACTAACTTCTAAAACAAACAACCTCAAAATTTCAGAGACTTAATTACATTAAGTTGTATTAAATATTTCTTTTTTTACATCACAGTTTAGTACAGATCATTTAGGAGCCCAGGCTAATGGGTTTTCTCTCTAGGTTGTCTGTCTTCTAGGGCCTTGGCATCCTTTAATGGGTTCTCTATATCTGGCCAAGAAACAAAAAAAGTGAAAGAGAGAGAAAGAGAGTGCAGGAGCACACGCAAAGAGCTTGAGAAGTTTCGAGCCCTGGCCTGGAAGGGGTACCCCATATTTGTTCATCTGCACTTCCTTAGTCAGAATCCAGTCCCAAAGCCCTATGAGTGCCTGGGGAGTGAGAAAGATATTCTATCAGCATGTCCAAAAGCACAAGTAAAGGTGAGCACCAACTTTCTATGCCATGTTGTATTTAATATGAAATATTTGTATGCCACATTGTATTTAAAATGAAACATGAAAGGCTCCCCTCAACATTTCCCTGGATGGTTGACAATGCTAAAGCCACAGAAAAAAAGAGAGGCACAGGGGTTCTGTAGTCATTTAGTTTACTGCTGCTACTCTCCAGTTTTAGATACTAGGAACAAGAAGAGATACAAGGATATTGAGGTTAAAAAGCTAGTTAGTGGTAGAGTTGCAACAGTAACTCAAGTCTCTTGATTCCTAGTTCAGTGTTCTTTCTACCATACCACATGCCTTCAAACAACTGAAGTATTAACATGTGGTATAAAGATTTGACTGAACATAGTGTAACCCTGGAAGGCAAAATGAGATACAGTGAAAGAGAAATGCTTTGTGTTAAATGTATAAAATATAGTTGATCCAAGAGAGAATGGGCTACTTAGCAAAATAATAAATTTACCAAAGGAGTGTTAACTGAAAGCTCCATGGTCAGTTCTCAGGATGTTGCTGAAGTAAGGATTTATGTCAGATAAACTCAGGGGTTCAGCTATCAAAAACTACAATGAAAATGTCTCTTTTCATATTTTTTTTGGTCAGAAATTTAAATATTTTGTGGTTGTCTCTATAGAAAAAAATGTTATTCCTAATAAAAATGTAACCGTTTTATGAAAAATGCCCTTATCTTTGATTTCTAAGAAGTTTTTGGACAATTCAAATAATTTACACACACACACACACACACAATTTACAATTTTATCGAAAGTAACCAAAATCAAAGTAAAAACAATGCCCGCATGAGTCAAGATGCAGAGAAGAAAAATGACTAAAGCGCCAGACTTGCATTGTGTCAGTCCTGACCAAGGCCAGATATTTCAGTAGATATTTGGTTGCCATAAGCCTCACCAACAATGAGGCACTGAGAGGAAAGAATTAAAAGGAGTTCTAATTCTCCCTGTCTTTCCTCTGGGGCATCAAAGGCATTATTTCCCTCATCGAATATTCTCAGAGACACTGTGATGGGATCCATTTACAAGAAGATTAAGTTTTTGTGAAAGACGGTTTTACAGAATATCTCTGATCTCTCTGGATAACTTATTTTAATTAAGCCTAGAATTTTATTAATTTGTAGGATGCAGCTGGATACAAAAGCTGTTACCAGCCTACTAAAATACCCAAACTGAGAAACCTCAAACTGGAATGGCCTCTACTGTGCCAAACTATACCACATACAGTTTGTGATCCTCACATCTTGGTGTGTGAAAAAGAACTTCAAAGAGGCTTGTTTGATGGATTCAGGACCTCATAGAAACTCATGGAGCTCGTGGCTGTCTTGTGCTAATATTCTTTGCTAACATTTAGTTAATTTTGTTGCACGCATGACATGTGATTTGTGTGAATCTGCTTTGACAGTTTGATCTTTTTTTAAAAAATTAGTTGACAAAAATTGCACATATTTATCCTGTACAACATATTGTTTTGAAATTGTGGAAGAGCTAAATTGAATGAATTAACATATGAATTATCGTACATTTTTTGTGATGAGAACACTTAAAATCTACTCTCTTAGCAACTTTCAAGAATACAATGCATTGTTATTAACTATAGTTGCCATGTTGTAAAAAAGATCTCATGAATTTATTCTTCCTACCTCAACTGAAATTTTGCATCCTTTGACCAACAACTCCCCAACAATTACCCCCAACCTTGCCCCTGGTAACCACCATTCCACTCTTTACTTCTGAGTTCAAAGTTTTTAGATTTCACATATAACAGATCATGTGATATTTGTCTTTCTGTGCCTGGCTTATTTTACTTAATGTCCTTCAGGTTCATCCGTGTTGTCACAAATAATGGGATCTCTTTCTTTTTTTTAAAGATAAATAGTATTCTATTGTATCTGTATACCACATTTAAAAAAACTATTCATTTGCTGATAAGCATTTAGGTTGATTCCATATTTGGGCTATTGTCAATAATTATGCAAAAAACATGAGACTGAATTATAACAAATTGTATTAAGTATCACATTTAGGGCAATTTAATCTTAGAAGTATGACCCCAATAAAATTACTTAGCCTCTTTGTGACTCCTTCCCTTCATCTGCAAAAATGTAAGAATTAAATAAGATGCCTGTAAAACATTTAAAATATTGTCTGGCACTCAATATATATGTTAGCTGTTAACATATATTTATAGAAAATAAAATGTAATAATATTAAAGCACATTTGAAAAAAGGGATGGGACAACCAAGAGAATGAGAGAAAATATTTGCAAACCATCCATCTAATAAGAAGTTAATATCCAAAATATAAAAGAGACTCAAAAAGCTCAACAGCAAGAAAACAAATAACCCAACTGAAAAATGGGCAAAGGATCTGAATAGACATTTCTCAAAAGAAAACACACAAACAGACAATAAGTATATAAAAAATGGTCAATATCACTAACTGTCAGAAAATATGCAAATTAAAAGTACAAAAAGACAGCACCTCACACTTGTTAGAGTGGCTACTATAAAAAAGACAAAAGAGGATGGCCAAACAGGAACAGCCCCAGTCTACAGCTCCCAGCGTGAGCGACGCAGAAGACCGGTGATTTCTGCATTTCCAACTGAGGTACCAGGTTCATCTCACAGGGGCTTCTCGGACAGTGGGTGCAGGACAGTGAGTGCAACCCACTGAGCATGAGCCAAAGCAGGGCTAGGCATCTCTTCACCCGGGAAGTGCAAAAGGTCAGGGAATTCCCTTTCCTAGCCAAGGGAAGCTGTAACAGAAAGCACCTGGAAAATCAGATCACTCTCACCCTAATACTGTGCTTTTCCAACAGTCTCAGCAAACGGAACACCAGGAGATAATATCCTGCTCCTGGCTCAGAGGGTCCCATGCCCATGGAGCCTTGCTCATTGCTAGCACAGCAGTCTGAGATCGAACTGCAAGGTGGCAGTGAGGCTGGGGGAGGGGTGCCCACCATTGCTGAGGCTTGAGTAGGTAAACAAAGCAGCCTGGAAACTCAAACTGGGTGGAGCCCACCGCAGCTCAAGGAGGCCTGCCTGCCTCTGTAGACTCCACCTCTGGGGGCAGGGCATAGCCAAACAAAAGGCAGCAGAAACCTCTGCAGACTTAAATGTCCCTGTCTGACAGCTTTGAAGAGAGTAGTGGTTCTCCCAGCATGGAGTTTGAGATCTGAGAACGGACAGACTGCCTCCTCAAGTGGGTCCCTGACCCCCGAGTAGCCTAATTGGGAGGCATCCCACAGTAGGGGCAGACTGACACCCCACACGGCCAGGTACCCCTCTGAGACGAAGCTTCCAGAGGAATGATCAGGCAGCAACATTTGCTGTTCAGCAATATTCACTGTTCTGCAGCCTCCGCTGCTGATACCCAGGCAAACAGGGTCTGGAGTGGACCTCCAGCACACTCCAACAGACCTGCAGCTGAGGGTCCTGACTGTTAGAAAGAAAACTAACAAACAGAAAGGACATCCACACCAAAACCCCATCTGTACGTCACCATCATCAAAGACCAAAGGTAGATAAAACCACAAAGATGGGGAAAAACAGAGCAGAAAAGCTGAAAATTCTAAAAATCAGAGCGCCTCTCCCCCTCCAAAGGAACACAGCTCCTCGCCAGCAATGGAACAAAGCTGGACAGAGAATGACTTTGACGAGTTGAGAGAAGAAGACTTCAGACGATCAAACTTCTCCGAGCTAAAGGAGGAAGGTAAAACCCATTGCAAAGAAGCTAAAAACCTTGAAAAAAGAATAGATGAATGGCTAACTAGAATAACCAGTGTAGAGAACTCCTTAAATGACCTGATGGAGCTGAAAACCATGGCATGAGAACTACATGACGAATGCACAAGCTTCAGTAGCTGATTCGATCAACTGGAAGAAAGGGTATCAGTGATGGAAGATCAAATGAACGAAATGAAGCGAGAAGAGAAGTTTAGAGAAAAAGAATAAAAAGAAATGAACAAAGCCTCCAAGAAATATGGGACTATGTGAAAAGACCAAATCTACGTCTGATTGGTGTACCTGAAAGTGACGGGGAGAATGGAACCAAGTTGGAAAACACTCTGCAGGATATTATCCAGGAGAACTTCCCCAATCTAGCAAGGCAGGCCAACATTCAACTTCAGGAAATACAGAGAACGCCACAAAGATACTCCTCGAGAAGAGCAACTCCAAGACATGTGATTGTCAGATTTGCCATAGTTGAAATGAAGGAAAAAATGTTAAGGGCAGCAAGAGAGAAAGGTTGGGTTATCCACAAAGGGAAGCCCACCAGACTAACAGCAGATCTCTCAGCAGAAACTCTACAAGCCAGAAGAGAGTGGGGACTAATATTCAACGTTCTTAAAGGAAAGAATTTTCAACCCAGAATTTCATATCCAGCCAAACTATGCTTCATAAGTGAAGGAGAAATAAAATCCTATACAGAGAAGCAAACACTGAGAGATTTTGTCACCACCAGGCTGGCCCTACAAGAGCTCCTGAAGGAAGCACTGGGATTACAGGCACCTGCCACCACACCCAGCTAATTTTGTAATTTTTAGGAGAGACAGGGTTTCACCATGTTGGCCAGGCTGGTCTCGAACTCCTGACCTCAGGTGATCCGCCGCGCCTCAGCCTCCCTGGGATTACAGGCATGAGCCACTGCACTGCATAAACATGCAAAGGAACAACCAGTACCAGCCACTGCAAAAACATGCCAAATTGTAAAGACCATCGAGGCTAGGAAGAAACTGCATCAACTAACGGGCAAAATAACCAGCTAACATCACAATGACGGGATCAAATTCACACATAACAGTATTAATCTTAAATGTAAATGGGCTAAATGCTCCAATTAAAAGACACAGACTGGCAAATTGGATAAAGAGTCAAGACCTATCAGGAAACTCATCTCACATGCAGAGACACACATAGGCTCAAAATAAAGGGATGGAGGAAGATCTACCAAGCAAATGGAAAACAAAAAAAGGCAGGGGTTGCAATCCTAGTCTCTGATAAAACAGACTTTAAACCAACAAAGAGACAAAGAAGGCCATTACATAATGGTAAAGGAATCAATTCAACAAGAAGAGCTAACTATCCTAAATATATATGCACCCAATACAGGAGCACCCAGATTCATAAAGCAAGTCCTTAGTGACCTACAAAGAGACTTAGACTCCCATACGATAATAATGGGAGACTTTAACACCCCACTGTCAACATTAGACAGATCAACAAGACAAAAAGTTAACAAGGATATCCAGGACTTGAACTCAGCTCTGCACCAAGCAGACCTAATAGACATCTACAGAACTCTTCACCCCAAATCAACAGAATATACATTCTTCTCAGCACGACGTTGCACTTATTCCAAAACTGACCACATAGTTGGAAATAAAGCACTCCTCAGCAAATGTAAAAGAACAGAAATTATAACAAACTGTCTCTAAGACCACAGTGCAATCAAAGTAGAACTCAGGATTAAGAAACTCACTCAAAACCACTCAACTACATGGAAACTGAACAACCTGCTCCTGAATGACTACTGGGTACATAAGGAAATGAAGGCAGAAATAAAGATGTTCTTTGAAACCAATGAGAACAAAGATAAAACATACCAGAATCTCTGGGACACATTTAAAGCAGTCTATAGAGGGAAATTTATAGCACTAAAAGCCCACAAGAGAAAGCAGGAAAGATCTAAAATTGACACCCTAACATCACAATTAAAAGAACTAGAGAAGCAAAAGCAAACATATTCAAAAGCTAGCAGAAGGCAAGAAATAACTAAGATCAGAGCAGAACTGAAGGAGATAGAGACACAAAAAACCCTTCAAAAAATCAAAGAATCCAGGACCTGGTTTTCTGAAAAGATCAACAAAATTGATAGACCACTAGCAAGACCAATAAAGAAGAAAAGAGAGAAGAATCAAATAGATGCAATAAAAAATGATAAAGGGGATATCACCACCGATCCCCCAGAAATACAAACTACAATCAGAGAATACTATAAACACCTCTATGCAAATAAACTAGAAAATCTGGAAGAAATGGATAAATTCCTCGACACATACACCCTCCCAAGACTAAACCAGGAAGAAGTTGAATCCCTGAATAGACCAATAACAGGCTCTGAAATTGAGGCAATAATTAATAGCCTACTAACCAAAAAAAGTCCAGGACCAGACGGATTCACAGCCGAATTCTACCAGAGGTACGAGAAGGAGCTAGTACCATTCCATCTGAAACTATTCCAATCAATAGAAAAAGAGGGAATCCTCCCTAACTCATTTTATGAGGCCAGCAACATCCTGATACCAAAGCCTGGCAGAGACACAACAAAAAAAGAGGATTTTAGACCAATATCCCTGATGAACTTCAATGCAAAAAATCCTCAGTAAAATACTGGCAAACCAAATCCAGCAGCACATCAAAAAGCTTATTCACCATGATCAAGTGGGCTTCATCCCTGGGATGCAAGGCTGGTTCAACATACACAAATCAATAAATGTAATCCAGCATATAAACAGAACCAAAGACAAAAACGACATGGTTATCTCAATAGATGCAGAAAAGGCGTTTGACAAAATTCAACAGCGCTTCATGTAAAAACTCTCAATAAATTAGGTATTGATGGGACGTATCTCAAAATAATAAGAGCTATTTATGACACACCCACAGCCAATATCATACTGAATGGGCAAAAACTGGAAGCATTCCCTTTGAAAACTGGCACAAGACAGGGATGCCCTCTCTCACCACTCCTATTCGACATAGTTTTGGAAGTTCTGGCCAGGGCAATCAGGCAGGAGAAAGAAATAAAGGGTATTCAATTAGGAAAAGAGGAAGTCAAATTGTCCCTGTTTGCAGATGACATGATTGTATATTTAGAAAACCCCATCTTCTCAGCCCAAAATCTCCTTAAGCTGATAAGCAACTTCAGCAAAGTCTCAGGATACAAAATCAATGTGCAAAAATCACAAGCATTCTTATACACCAATAACACACAAACAGAGACCCAAATTATGAGTGAACTCCCATTCACAATTGCTTCAAAGACAATAAAATACCTAGGAATCCAATCTACAAGGGATGTGAAGGACCTCTTCAAGGAGAACTACAAACCACTGCTCAGTGAAATAAAAGAGGACACAAACAAATGGAAGAACATTCCATGCTCATGGATAGGAAGAATCAATATCATGAAAATGGCCATATTGCCCAAGGTAATTTATAGATTCAATGCCATCCCCATCAAGCTACCAATGACTTTCTTCACAGAATTGGAGAAAACTACTTTAAAGTTCATATGGAACCAAAAAAGAGCCCCCATTGCCAAGACAATCCTAAGCCAAAAGAACAAAGCTGGAGGCATCACACTACCTGACTTCAAACTATACTACAAGGCTACAGTAACCAAAACAGCATGGTACTGGTACAAAAACAGAGATATAGACCAATGCCACAGAACAGAGCCCTCAGAAATAATAGCATGCATCTACAGCCATCTCATCTTTGACAAACCTGATAAAAACAAGAAATGGGAAAAGCATTCCCTATTTAATAAATGGTTCTGGGAAAACTGGCTAGCCATATGTAGGAAGCTGAAACTGGATCCCTTTGTTACTCCTTATACAAAAATTAATTCAAGATGGATCAAAGACTTAAATGTTAGACCTAAAACCATAAAAACCCTAGAAGAAAACCTAGGCAATACCTTTCAGGACATAGGCATGGGCAAGGACTTCATGTCTAAAACACCAAAAGCAATGGCAATGAAAGCTAAAATTGACAAATGGGATCTAATTAAACTAAAGAGCTTCTGCACAGCAAAAGAAACTATTATCAAAGTGAACAGGCAACCTATAGAATGGGAGAAAATTTTTGCAACCTACTCATCTGACAAAGGGCTAATATCCAGAATCTACAAACAATTCAAACAAATTTACAAGAAAAAAACAACCCCATCAAAAAGTGGGCAAAGGATATAAACAGACACTTCTCAAAAGAAGACATTTATGCAGCCAACAGACACATGAAAAATGCTCACCATCACTGGCCATCAGAGAAATGCAAATCAGAACCACAATGAGATACTATCTCACACCAGTTGGAATGGTGATCATTAAAAAGTCAGGAAACAACAGGTGCTGGAGAGGATGTGGAGAAATAGGAACACTTTTACATTGTTGGTGGGACTGTAAACTAGTTCAACCATTGTGGAAGACAGTGTGGCAATTCCTCAAGGATCTAGAACTAGAAATACCATTTGACCCAGCCATCCCATTACTGGGTATATACCCAAAGGATTATAAATCATGCTACTATAAAGACACATGCACATGTATGTTTATTGTGGCACTATTCACAATAGCAAAGACTTCGAACCAATCCAAATGTCCATCAATGATAGACTGGATTAAGAAAATGTGGCACATATATACCATGGAATACTATGCAGCCATAAAAAAGGATGAGTTCATGTCCTTTGTAGGGACGTGGATGAAGCTGGAAACCATCATTCTCAGCAAACTATTGCAAGGGTAAAAAATCAAACACCTGATGTTCTCACTCATAGGTGGGAATTGAACAATGAGAACGCTTGGACACAGGAAGGGGAACATCACACACCAGGGCCTGTTGTGGGGTGCGGGAAGTGGGGAGGAGTAGCATAGGAGATATACCTAATGTAAATGACGAGTTAATGGGTGCAGCACACCAACATGGCACATGTATACATAAGTAACAAACCTGCACGTTGTGCACATGTACCCTTGAACTTAAAGTATAATAAAAAACAAAAGACAAAAAAGACAAAAGATAGCAAGTGCTGGCAAGGATGTGGAGAAAAGGAGACACTTATACATTCCTTGGTGGTAATGTAAATTAGGAGAGACATTATTAAAAATAGTCTAAAGGCTTTTCAAAAAACTGAAAATAGAACTATACATGATCCAGGGCTCCCACTGCTGGACCTATGGCCGTATCTGTTCAGTATGTTGAAGAGATGTATGCACTCCCATGTTCATTGTAGCATTATTCACAATACCGAAGATATGGGATCAATCAAAGCATCCATTTAATGGATGAATGGATAAAGAAAATGTGATGTATGTGTATGTGTGTGTGTGTTTGTGTGTGCGTATAATGTGATATATATTGCATTATAGAAATAGAATACTATTCAGCCTTTGAATAGAAGAAAATCCTATTATTTGCAACAATATGGACGGATCTTGATGATATTATTATTATTTGTTTGTTTTTGAGACAGGGTCTCATTCTGTCACCCAGGCTGGAGTGCAGTGGTGTGATCTTGGCTCACTGCAACCTCCGTCTCTCAGGTTCAAGGATTCTTGTGCCCAAGCCTCCTGAGTAGCTGGGATTACAGGCGCACACCACCATGCCCAGCTGATGTTTGTATTTTTAGTAGAAAAGGGGTTTTGCTTTGGTGGTCAGGGTGCTCTTGAACTCCTGGCCTCCTGTGATCCACCTGCCTTAGCCTCCCAAAGTGCTGGGATTACAAGCATGAGCTACCACACCCAGCCTGGATGATATTATTTTAAGTGAAATAAGCCCAGTACAGAAAGATAAATATCACATGATCTCACTTATATGTGAAATCTAAAAAAGTCAACCTCATAGAAGCAGAGAGTAAAGTAATGGTTGCCAGGGACTGGGATGGGGAATTACTGTGAAAACATTTGTTGAATGATACAAAATTTCAGTTAGACATGAATAATAAGTTCAAGAAATTTATAATTGTACAACATGGTGAATATAGTTCATAACAATGTATTGCATACTTGAAAATCACTAAAAGAGTGGATTTTAAGTTTTCTCACCACAAAAAATAAGAAGAAGCTGGGATAATAAATATATTAATTAGCTCGATTTAGCCATTGTAAAATGCATGCATATTTCAACACACCACGTTATATAGCATGAATATATATAATTTTTGTCAGTTAAAAAATAATTAAAGAAAGATAAAAAAGATTTAAAAAGAAGGAAGCCTTGTCAATTGTGACACAAAGATGAATCTAGAAGACTTTATTCTTAGCTCGTTATGCCAGGTACAGAAAAATATTCTGTGTGATCTCACTTGTATGTGGGCTCTAGACAAGCAGAGAGTAGAATAGTGGTTGCTAGGGGCTCTGGGATGGGGGTGGGAATGGGGAGAAGTTGGTCAAAAGGTACAAAATTTCAGTTCTACAGGATAAATAAGTTTTGATGATCTATTGTACCGTGTGGTGATTGTGTTAACTATAATGTATTATATATTTTAAAATTTCTAAGAGAGTCTGTCTTAAATCCTCACCTCAAAAAAATGATAAGTATGTGAGATGATGATATGTTAATTAGTTTGAATCATTTCACAATGTATATCAAAACATCGTGTTGTACACCATATATATATATAATTTTTATTTGTCAATTATACCTCAATAAAACTGGGGGGAAAATGGAAAAGGGAGGGTGAAATCAGTCATCATTACATCTTCCTGATATGGTCTGGCTGTGTCCCCACCCAAATCTCATCTTGAACTGTAGCTGCCATAATTCCCACCTGTTTTGAGAGGGACTCAGTGGGAGGTAATTGAATCATGGGGTTGGATCATTCCCATGCTGTTCTTGTGGCTGTGAATAAGTCTCACAAGATCTGATTGTTTTATAAAGGGGAGTTCCCCTTCACATGCTGTCTTTTGCCTGCTGCCATGTAAGATGTGACTTTGCTCCTCATTCACCTTCCTCCATGATTGTGAGGCCTCCCTAGCCATGTGGAACTGTGAGTCAATTAAACCTCTTTCCTTTATAAATTACCCAGTCTTTTTTAGGAGCATAAGAACAGACTAATACACTTCCTAAACAATTTTGCAGCTCTCTTTCAATCTTTGTCTGTGTATATTCCATTGTTTATATCATGCTAATTGGAGTGTGTTTAGGAACCATTTTGTAAAGAAAAACTAAAAAACATGAGCTTATGACACAATCTCTGCACTTAAAACCCTGAAAATATACATACTTACTTCCAAGGAAAGGAAACAGGTAAACCACTTGATTTACTGAGCTGCTGGGAGTGTGATGCTTTTCTTCTCTTTTGATTTGACTTAATGTTGTTAATGCAATAAGAGGAGGGAAATGTTAATTCTTAAAGTTGAAACTGCTGGGAAAGCATTGAATCTTGAAGGATTCTGAAGGACAAAACATGATTTTTCTCTATGTTTGCTACTATCTTATTACTTATGTACTTGTGAATATTCTTATTTGATAGTATATTTCATGTCAGACTTTGAGAATAGGAGAACTACTGTAATTGAACAACAATAAATTTGAAAAGTAATTTCAAGAAGACCACTCACTGGAGCAAGGACATGTTTTCCCATAATATTCTAATCTGCCATCATGATTGTTCCTTTCATCAAAAACAGATGAATAAATATCTTAATCTACCTGGTAGCCATATGTTACATCAATAAAATGACCTCTATTACAAGTGTAGCTAAAGTGACAAGGCCTTCTTCATGAATAATGGTAGATGTGTATAATGACAGATATTGATTTAACTTTTTAAATCAATTTCCCTAGCTCATTATAGCTATCTTTTTATGATTTAACTTAGCAGGTACATTTATTATTAAGTCTGTGCTTTCTAAATAAAAAAGGAAATATCCTATAGTGGCATGCACTGTTTAAGTGCATTATATTTATTATATTAAATATATTGAGCTTTAACAGTAGCCTTTTGGATAATTATTTTCCTTTTATACATGAAGACATGAAGTTAAGCTTACAGAGACAGTAAGTAATATAGATGGGATATTAGTCCAGGTAATGGCTGACACCAAAGCTTCATTATTTTTTCACTACAACATAAACATCAATTAGCAAAGTTGCTTGGGAAATTGGATTATTACATCTTCAGGTTTAAATTTCATAGTAAAAATAAAATTAATCTACATCTTTTAGGTTCATGTGAAATAATGGCAGCCATGTTAATCTGAATTTCCCAATGTGTTCTACAAAAACACATTTGTACAGATCAACAAGAAGAATGAATAAAACTACACAAGCTGTACATATACAGCCTAAGTAAGAGACAATGCTATTATGATTTTGAGTGTGTCCCTCCAAGTTCATCTGTTGGAAACTTAATCCCTGGTGCAACAATGTAGAGAGGTGGGACTTTTAAGAGGTAATTAGGTCATGAGGTCTCTGTCCTTTCTTGCTCTCTTTCTTGTGCTCTTACCATATTATTCCTTCTGCCATGGTATGACACAGCAACAAGATGCTTGCCAGATGCAGTTCCCTTGACCTTGGGCTTTACAGCCTCCAGAACTGTAAGAAATAGATCTCTGTTCTTTATAAATTACTCCGTGTCAGGTATTTTGTTATAGTAGCACAAAGCAGAGTAAGAGAATACCATAAAATACAATTTATAAGTATGTAAATATGCATTTTAAATGCATACAAGATATAACTGTTCCCCCAGGAGTCTGGCATCCCCAGTAAGACACAATTATATTTCAGAATATAATAAAACTCATAACATTGTATAACAGGAAATGCATGCCTAAAATAATATGTAGGCATGTTATTTTAATAGGAAGTGGTGGGATAGGTAGACATTCTGTCCTTAAAAAGTTTTTTGCTAATATTTTTGAAGAGGATTGGGCTCCATATATGACCTGCTCAGAGCAATTTACTTTGTTTAAGAAAAATTATTATACAGATTACACATCCCTATCCCAAATGCTTGGGACTACCGGAAGTGTTTTGGATTTCAGAGGTTTTTGGTTTTTGCTATATTTGCATAAATATAAGATTATCTTGGGGATGGGACTCAAGTCTAAACATGAAATTCATTTACACACAGAGCCTGAAGGTAATTTTATACAATGTTTTAAACAATCTTTTGCACGAAACAAAGTTTTGACTGCATTTTGACTCTGACTTGTCACATGAGGTCAGGTGTGGCAATTTCTTCTTGTGGCATCATGTTGGTGCTCAAAAAGTTTCAGATGTAGGAGCATTCAGGATTTTGGATTTTTGGATTAGGAATGTTCAACTTGTTATATACATGAAACAATCTTAAATATTTTATGATTTCACAAAGGACTGTCAGAAGAACAGCAGGATTTTAATCACTGTATCAGCATGTTCTACCAGGACAAAGGAACTCTAAGCAAGTTCATATTTGCAAGAGCACAAAGCTATTTCTTAAGTGTACAGTACTTAAAGCTACCTTGAAGGTTTAGATAACTAAAGAAAAACAACATAAACAAATTTAGATGTATTTATTTCCTACTAATGGCGTCTTAGTCTCTTTTCTCTTGCTTATAATAGAATACTTAAAACTGGGTAATTTATTTTGAAAAAGGAATTTATATCTTACAAAGGCTGAGAAGTCCAAGGTTGAGGGGGCCACATCTGGTATGGATCTTCTAGCCGGTGGGGACTCTCTACAGAGTCCCTAGGTGGCTCAGGGCATCAAATGGAAGGGAGACTTAGTGTGCTAACTCAGGTCTCTCTTCCTCTTCTTATAAAATTACCAGTCCCACTCCTTGTGATAATACATTAATCCATTAACTTATTGATCCTTTAATCCGTGAATAGATTAATTCATTCATGAGGGTAGAGTCGTCACAACCCAATCACCTCTTAAAGGCCCTGTCAATACTGCCACATTGGGGATTACATTTTAACATGAGTTTTTTGGAAAAAAAAATTCAAACCACAGCAAGTGGCATACTTCAACTTTATAGAATGCTGAAGGCCCTAGGGTCTTCTAGAAATTATTGAAAAATACACTTCTTAGACTACCTTTGTATATTCTCTGGGAACCCCTAACACTTGCCTTTATATCACACACTACATTAGGAAGCTACAAATCGCATCATTGAAAAGCTCTGATGCTTGTTAGAATCAGTGAATTTTAGTGCTTACATCAGGATGTCCTAAAGGACTTTTCAAAGTGCATTGTAATGACTTGTTAGCAAGTATATGTTTTTCTCTTAACTGTTGCATATTCTTTTTTTGTTTAGTAAAATGGCTAGCAAAGTAGAAGCCCCTTAAATATTTGTTGATTGTGAAATGGGTAAATTACCCTCAGAACTTAGACATAAAATTATACTCTGCAAGAGTTTACTAAGAATCAACACCAGATCAGACAAAAGTATAGGTAGGAACAGAAATGACCAAACCTAAGAGTAGATTTACGTATGTGTTGCCAAGGGATTCTTGGGAAAGACTCAAATGCAATGACAAAAACGAGGATGTTTGCTTAGATATGGAATATAATAAACTGAAGCCTAGGTAAAAGACTGTCTTCATGCTTCTGTGCCAAAACTGAGGTCTGTCTCCAGCAGCCGTCCTTCCTCCCACGGGTCCTGCTAAAGCTGCGTCCCTTTAGGTCAATACTAGCTTGCTATCACAAGCCACAGTCGAGTCTGGCAGGGTAATTACCTAGAGACACCAGAAGTCAATTGAGCCTAAAGGGTACAAGTTATCGTGTTTAAGGACAAAAAAAAAAAGTCTCAGCTTTTAGGTCCATGATTAAATAGCGCGCTGAATACACAAAGAGAAGTAGGCAGCCTTGAGCTGTAAATGCGCAGGGCAGAAAGTGGAATTAAAGAATTGAAGGAGGAATTGAAAAAGGCACATGAAGATGGTTCATAACGTTACCTATGTTAGGGGTGTTTCCCAGAGCATTATCTTCCTGGTTCTATTGTGCGTCCTGAGTGAAATATTTAGATATGAGGTGGACAGCAAGAGAGAGATTACCCTAGCCATCCTACACAAGTTGTAATTTGTATTAGACAAATACTGCATGATCTCACTTATATGTGGAATATAAAAAAACAGAACTCATAGAAACAGAGAATAGAATGATGATTGTCAGAAGCTGGGCCTAGGGAAATGGGAAAATGTTCGTCAAAGGGTACAAACTTTAAGTTATAAGATGAATAAATTCTGGAGACCTAGTGTACCAGAATGGTAACTATGGTTAATAATAATATATTGTACACAGATATTCCTTGACTTACAGTGGGTTACATCCTAATAAACTCATCATAAAATCAAAACATCATAGGTCAAACCATAGTAAGTTGAGGACTATCTGTACTTGAAATTTGCTAAGAGAGGCTGGGCGCAGTGGCTCACGCCTGTAATACTAGCACTTTGAGAGGCTGAGGCAGGCAGATCATGAGGTCTGGAGTTCGAGACCAACCTGGCCAACATAGTGAAACCCCCATCTCTATTAAAAATGCAAAAAATCAGCCGGGCGTGATGGCGGGCACCTGTAATCCCAGCTACTCGGGAGGCTGAGGCAGGAGAATTGCTTGAACCCAGAAGGCGGAGGTTGCAGTGAGCCAAGATCAAGCCATTGCACTCCAGCCAGGGTGACAGTGTGAGACTATCTCAAAAAAAAATAAATAAAATAAAATAAAATAAAATAAAAAATAAATTTGCTAAGAGAGTAGATCTTAAGTATTCTCACCACACATCCCCCTAAATGGTAACTATGTGAGGTGATGGATATGTTAATTAGCTCGATTCTGGTAATCATTTCACAATGCATATGTGTATCAAAACATTACTTTGTACACCTTAAATATATACAATTTTTATTTGCCAACCATATTTCAATAAAGCTAGAAAAAGAAAAACAATAAAAATAAACAGCTGTATTTTACCTTCACTTACTACCTTTTTGATACTATTCCTTTCTTTGTGAAGATCTGTATTTCTGACCTATATTGACCTTTTCTCTAAAGAACTACTTTTAACACTTCTTGCAAGAAAGATCTACTGACAACAAGTTATCTCAATTTGTCCAAAAAAAAAAAACTTCTTTGTTTCTCTTTCACCTTTGAAGGACAATTTTACAGAGTGCAGAACTTTAGGCTGGTGGGGGTTTTTTTCCTCACAATACTTTAAATATTTTATTCCACTCTCTTCTTGCTTGCATGGTTTCTAAGAAGAAATCAGATGTAATCCTTATATCTGTTCTAGAGGTAAGGTGGGTTTTTTTTTTTTTCCTTCTGGCTTAAGGACATTTTCTTTATATTTGATTTTCTGTAATTTAAAATTCATATGCCCAGGTGTGGTTTTTTGGGTCACTTATCTTGCAGGCGTTCCCCGAACTTTCTGGATCTATGGCTTTGTGTCTGATATTACTTTGAGAAAATTCTCAATCATTACTCTTTCAAATATTTCCTCGGTTCTTTTCTTCTCCTTCTGGTATTTCTATTATGTGCATGCTACTTACACCTGGAGTTGTTCTACAGTTCTTAGATATTCTGTTCTATGCCATTCAGTCTCTGTTCTCTTTGCCTTTCAGTTTTGGAGGTTTCTATTTTATATATATAGATAGATAGATAGATAGACACACATATATATGTGTGTATATATATAGATAGATATGTGTATATATATAGAGAGAGATTAGATATTCTTTTCTCAGCTGTGTCCAATCTACTAATAGCCCGTCAAAGGCATTCTTCATTTCTGTTACAAAGTTTTTGATCTCCAGCATTTCTTTTTGGTTCTTTCTTAGGATTTCCAATTCTCTGTTAACATTGCCTGTCTGTTCTTGCATGCTGTCTATTTTATCCATTGGAGCCCTTAGCATACTAATCATTGTTGTTTTAAATTCCCAGTCTGATTGTTACCAGTGGTGAATCCGATGGATCTGCAGCAAACTTTATCCTTGCCCCCTTGGAGGAAAGAATTCAGCTGAGAGGCATAAGGCAGAGTGAGAGACTGAGGCAAGCTTTGGAGCAGCAATGAAAGTTTATTAAAAGGTTTTACAGCAAGAACAAAAGGAAGCAAAGTACACTTGGAAGAGGGCCAAGTGGGTGACTTGGGAGATCCAAGTGCCCCATCTGGCCCTTGATTTGGGGTTTTATACCATAGTTCCAGGATTTCCATTTCTCCTGCCTTGATTTTTCTCTTGGGATGGGCTGTCTGCATGCACAGTGGCCTGCCAGCACTTGGGAGGGGCCGCATGCACAGTGTATTTACTGCAGTTGTGTCCATGCTCACTTGAGGCCTTTTTCCCTTACCAGTCGAGCCTTCCTAGAGGAAGGTCACATACCAGTTAAATGCCACTATTTTGCCTCTTAGTGTGCACGCTTAAGCCCACTCACCCAACTCCTGAGATCTTATTGGGAAGCTGCTGATCACTAGCTTCAGATGTTTTCTATCTTTTGAGAGACTACCTTTCCTGGGCACTGGCTGTTAC
Organism: Homo sapiens; assembly: GCF_000001405.40. NCBI lineage: Eukaryota > Metazoa > Chordata > Mammalia > Primates > Hominidae > Homo > Homo sapiens. Next base: position 104,206,737 of record NC_000009.12, on the reverse strand, counting down.
CAATTCTTATTTTAGAGAGATGGTTAAAAAACAACCTGATGATCACCTGAGGGTCACCTGACATTCCTGGGTGGGGGCCTTTCCTGCTCTGCTCATGTGTGCCTAACTACCTACTCTAATGTGATCATTCCAACATTTCTATGATGTTTAGTTCTAAGGCTTGCTCTGCCTCTTCACATTTTATTTTTTGCCTTTAGTATGCCTTTTTTTTTCTCTTGATAGCTGGACATAATGTATTGAGTAAAATGAATGGTTGTAAATGAGCCTTAGTAATGCAGTGATAAGGTGTGGGGGAAGAGGAGGCGTTCTCTGGCCCTATCATTAGGTCTCAGTCTTTTATTTTTAGCAAGCCTATGCCTCTGGACTGTGATCTCCACAAGTGCCGTTCAGTTCCTTCCCATTTAGGTGGGACAGGATAGCTGAGTTGGGTGGAATTGGGCATTTCTCTTCCCCAGGTAAGTTAGGGTCCGATAAAACCCCAGTAGGTTAAGCTCTGGTTAAATAGTTTCTCCTGAGAGCAGACATTGTTAAGAGCTGAGTGCTTTGGTGTATTTCAAAATGGTTGCTTTTTCCCTCCCTCTGCTGGAAGCACAAAGGGATTTTCCCCTAATATTTACTGTGAGAGCCCTGATAGAGCTCCTGGAGATAAAACCAAAGTATGGGGAGACCCCTATGACTAGATCCCCTTGGAGTTTTTAACTCTCTGACTTTTCACAATGACCCTCCAGCAATTTGCCAATTACAGTTCAGGTTTTCCTACCCCAGCACTGGTTCCTGCGGCAGTTTCCACTCCCGAGTTTCTTCTCCGGTAAGTCATGACTCTATATTTGCCTGTCTGTCCCTCTCCAATCTTGGGGGCAGTGATTTACCCTGTGTTCTCACCTTTCTTATGGATCCAAGAAGAGTTGTTGATTTTTTCAGTCTGTTCACTTTTATTTGTTAGGAGAAATTGATGACTTCCAAGTTCCTTACATGTGGAAAGGCTAACTTCTTAAAACTAAATTGTTTTTTGTTTAACAATATATAATTTTTGGAAGTTATTTTTTTGAAGATGCTGATTTAAATATTTAGTTCTGCATTATCCAAATATCTTGAATATAACTACTTTGCATTTATCTTAAGAAGTTCACTAATGGGCATAGACATGGGAATACCTGAGAGGTGCAGGCAGGCTAGCTCTTGAAACCAGGCTATGAGGGCAGAAAAGAATCTTAGAGATCATGAATTTAAACTATTTTCATGTTAAAAGAACAAAAACAACAACCAAAAACAAAAACAAAACACAAAAAACCCTCAGAGGCCTAGGTAAGGCTGACTCTCTTCCTTCAACGACCAGTACTCGTCTCATCTCATTGAATACCCTCTCCCCACTGTCAGAACCTCATCTAGCACAGCTGACACACTTGTGTCTCCCCAGTGAATGGTTTAGAAATTCAGATCTACAGACACTGGAGGCATGCTCTTCTATGCTGCACAGCGAGTGCATCTCTACCATCCAGTGTTGGAGACACGTAGAACATTCCCATATTCTCAGACATGTCAGTCCTTCTCTGACTCTTTCCTTCACTGAAAGTCGGTAGCACTGACATTGTAGGGACTTTCATACCAGTACTGTGAAAGATGTTGAACGCTCTCACAAATTCAGCAGACACACTGGTACCTTCCTGCCTCCACTGCTATAAACATTCAGATTATTTTCATTAAGTTCTTTAAAACATCCCACCCCAGGATATCTACAGTACTTGATGAAAAAAGTCTGAAAGAGTGCTGTCTGCGATGATGGAAATATCCTATCATTCTGAGCTTGCCCAATACAGTGACCACTACCCACAGGAAGCTGTTGTGCACCTGATACACGAACACAAAGTCTTTTGAGTGTTAGATTATTGAAATTTGGCAATGGGGGGGGGGAAATGTTAAACTGTAAACTATCTCTTGGCAAATTATAAAATGCTTCTCATAGCCCATCCAACTCCTTAAAGCTCCATACCACCACCACACAAAACTTTCTCTTGCTATTCTCTAAGACTTGTCAGTTATTCTTGACCCTAAAATCCCTAGATCTTCCAATAAATATGGAAATTTGCCTTAATACCAAGATTTCTGCAATACTTGTTGAATGTCAGAAAATTTCTTCTGGCAGGAAATTAGATCAATCTGGGGCGAGGTCCTGCTGTGCTGTTAGACTTCAGAAGCTTTAGTTTAATTGCACTACAGAGTGAATGTGTGTGTGGTGGAGGGTGGTGGTCAGTGGTAGACAGCTCCAAGCTTTATGCATTTGATGTTTCTTTCTAACTAATCCTTTAACTAATTCAATCATCCATTCATTCTACAAATATCTATTGAGTAACTAGCTGCTGGCAAGATAGCCATAAACATGAGAGAAAACTCCCTGCCTTCACAAGACTTCTATTGTAGTAGTAGAGTTCAACAATAACAAACAAATAAGCAACTACAGTATTTAGAAAAAATAAAACTGCATAAAATAATGTCGTGTACTAATATAGGTTACAATAAAAATTAAGCAAGGTAAAGGTGAGTAGGAGACCACACAGGTATTTTAGATAGGGAGGTCTCAGGGGCCTCTCTGAGGACGTGACATTTGGGCACAGACTGGCATGAAGTGAGGGAACAAGCCATTCAGTGATATAGAGCAAAACTATCACAGGAGAATCCAGAGTGAAGGCAAAGTCACAGAGGCTGAAACATGTTTCCTATATCCAGGAGCAACCTGAGAGGATCCCATGCCGGGACAGGTGTGACTACAACAGAATGAGAGCAAGAGAGAGTGACAGCAGATGAAGTCTGAGAATTAGCCAACAGCTACCAGGTAAGTTCCTGGGAAACAAAGTTCTATGTCGGAGCAGAACTCACAGCAAGAGATGAATTAGGTGAAGCATCCCTTTTATTGTGTCCCAATTAAAGTTGTTCTAGTGGCTCTAGATCAGTGCTTTTCAAAGGTTAATATGTATATGAATTACCTGAGGATCTTATGAAATGCCACTTCTGATTATCTAAGTCTGGGGTGGGTTGTGATCACAGAACAAGCTTCTATACTGTTGTTCCTGGTCTACTTTGAGGTGCAAGGCTCCAGAGTATAGATCATCATCAGACTGAAGTCCACACTCCTTTGGTTTATAAAAGCTTTGTTTCTAATTATGTCTTCAACTTCATTTTTGCTGCTCACTCTCCCCACCACCATCTCCCTTCCCTACTTTATATGCTCCAGGTGTATCTCTTTCTTTCTCGAACACACCAGGAGCTCTCTCATTCTCAGGCCTTCACAAAGTTAGTGTCTCTCTTCCTAGAGCAAACATCTCTCCCTCTTCACCAGTCTTAGTCCTCTATTAGTTCCTAGCTTAGTTTTTACTCCCCTAGTGTAGGGTTTTGCTGCCCTCTCACATGCCACTAAAGCTCTCTATCCACCTTCTTAACACTCACCTGTCATTTAGCCCAGTTCTTAGAGGAAGACCCAGATTCCTGTGCTGGTTGTTGCAGTCCTAGAGCATAGCACAGTGTTTACAACAAAAGTCCCCACTAAATATTTGATGTGTAAAAGCATGATTGAAGGAGTTAAACCACAAGACACACTGCTGTAACAATCTACAGAAAATGAGCATTTGGTTACAATGTAGCAGAGTCTAGTGGCTTTGTAGGCTAAAAATATAATGAATAATTCTTAACACCAAGACAGTATTTTGCTGATAACCTACATTAATTAACCTTTTTAATTGAATGATGTATTATAAATTGTTTTTGGAGTTTCCATAAAATATGATGAATAACAAGGAGGAGTGATGCTTCAATTAAGGTTCTTAAACTAGTTAAGTGTGTTTTCTTTGTACACAAACAAATCACTGCCACATAGATATGGTCGATGAATTTTATAGATTTATGACCTTTTAACTTTTCTGAAATGCTTCAAACATGGGTTTATCAACAGACTGTCTATTAACTAATCAGCACATTGACGTTTGTCTCTTCTGCCTCCCTTTCTCTGAATTTTTTAGTGTGCCTATTTTGACAGGCATCAAATCCAATAATTAATGTGACATACACAGAGACATATGCTATCTCAGGACAGCATACCATTAGTTCTAAGTGGGTTGCATCATTATGTGTCTTCATACAATTAATCAGAACAAAGACGGCTGGAGGTCCATGTAGATTGTCTTGACTGGGTCAAAATAGGAAGTCTGAATATGGGGTCAAAGTCAATGTCATACATAAGACACTGGGAAATAATGTTATAAAAGTTCCATGCTGTACCAGTCAGAATTCTCTAGAGAAACAGAACCAACAGAACTAATTGTACGTTGTATATACTTATTTATAAACTATATATATTAAAATTATATACATAAAATTATATTAACATATAAAGCATTTTATTTTATGAAATTGGCTCATACAATTGGCTGACAAGTACAAAAGGGGCAGGTCAGGCAGAAACTCTGAAATCTGTAGGGCAGGTCACCAGGCTGGAAATTGTGGAAGTTGACACTGCAGTCTTAAGGCAGGACTTCTTCAGAAAACCTCAATTTTCATTCTTAAGATCTTCAACTGATTATATCATGGCCACATCATTAAGGACAGTCTCCTTTACTTAAAGGTAGCTGATTGCATATGTTAATGACATTCACTGCAGCACCTAGATTCGTGTTTGAGTAAACTCTGTCTGGAATTGGTGGGTTCTTGGTCTCACTGACTTCAAGAATGAAGCCGCGGACCCTCGCGCTGAGTGTTACAGTTCTTAACGATGGTGTGTCCAGAGTTTTTTCCTTCTGATGTTCGGATGTGTTCGGAATTTCTTCCTTCTGGTGGGTTCGTGGTCTCACTGGCTTCAGGAGTGAAGCTGCAGACCTTCGCAGTGAGTGTTATAGCTCTTAAGGCAGCGCATCTGGAGTTGTTCGTTCCTCCCCTCCGGAGTTGTTCATTCCTTCCGGTGGGTTCGTGGTCTTGCTGGCCTCAGGAGTGAAGCTGCAGACCTTCGCTGTGAGTGTTACAGCTCATAAAGTCAGTGCGGACCCAAAGAGTGAGCAGCAACAAGATTTATTGCAAAGAGCAAAAGAACAAAGCTTCCACAGTGTGGAAGGGGACCGAAGCAGGTTGCCACTGCTTGCTTGGGCAGCCTGCTTTTATTCCCTTATCTGGCCCCACCCACATCCTGTTGATTGGTCCATTTTACAGAGAACTGATTGGTCTGTTTTACAGAGAGCTGATTGGTCTGCTTACAATCCCTGAGCTAGACACAAAAGTTCTTCAAGTCCTCACTAGATTAGCTAGACACAGAGCACTGATTGGTGCATTTACAAACCTTGAGCTAAATGCAGGGTGCTTATTGGTGTGTTTACAAACCTTGATCTAGACACAGAGTGCTGGTTGGTGTATTTACAATCCTTTAGCTAGACATAAAGGTTCTCCAAGTCCCCACTAGATTAGCTAGATATAGAGTGCTGATTGGTGCATTTACAAACCTTAAGCTAGACACAGAGTGCTGATGGGTGTATTTACAATCCTTTAGCTAGACATAAAGGTTCTCCAAGGCCCCACTAGATTAGCTAGACACAGAGCACTGATTGGTGTATTTACAAACCTTGAGCTAGACACAGAATGCTGATTGGTGTATTTACAATCCCTTAGCTAGACATAAAGGTTCTCCAAGTCCCCACTAGACTCAGGAGCCCAGCTGGCTTCACCTGGTGGATCCTGCATTGGGGCCGCAGGCGGAGCTGCCTGCCAGTCCCGTGCAGTGCACCTGCACTCCTCAGCCCTTGTGTGGTCGATGGGACTGGGCGCCATGGAGCAGGGGGCAGTGCTCCTCGGGGAGGCTTGGGCCATGCAGGAGCCCACTGCAAGCGGGGAGGCTCAGGCATGGCGGGCTGCAGATCCCGAGACCTGCCCCATGGGGAGGCAGCTGAGGCCCGGCGAGAATTCGAGCGCAGTGCCAGTGAGCCAGCACTGCTGGGGGACCTGGCGCACCCTCCACAGCTGCTGGCCCAGGTGCTAAGTCCCTAACTGCCTGGGGCCAGCGGTGCTGGCTGGCCACTCCAAGTGCAGGGCCCGCCAAGCCCACGCCCACCTGGAACTTGCGCTGGCCCATGAGCGCCACGTGCAACCCTGGTTCCCGCCCGTGCCTCTCCCTCCACATCTCCCCGCAAGCAGAGGGAGCTGGATCCGGCCTTGGCCAGCCCAGAGAGGGGCTCCCACAGTGCAGCAGCGGGCTGAAGGGCTCAAGCGTGGCCAGAATGGGCGCCGAGGCCGAGGAGGCACCAAGAGCGAGCAAGGGCTGCCAGCATGCTGTCATCTCTCAAAATAACTGTATCTTCTAGCCCAGCCAAATTGACACATAAACTTAACCCTTACACATAACCTCAAATGTTATCTATCTAAGAACAAATGAAGCAAATGATTGATCATGATCTAAGGTGCAGGCCATTAGCCAACTCTGAGTGTTGAACTAGCAACAGAAAGATCTGGGTTTAGGGTAGAACATCTGAGAATTGAGTATAAGGAAAGAAATCTAGCCTCTAATAGGAATTGGGGACTGTGGCAAGCACTAAGTCCCTGCAGCACAGGGAGAACGAGGAGAGGTGATATTACCGGGTAATTGCTATGGAAGAGGATGCAAGATGTGAAATGAGCAGATTTAAAGTCAGAGAAATCTGAGTTTAAATTCCAGCTCTGCACTTATTGAGCAAGCTATTTAGTCCATGTAAGTCTAAAACTTTTACCACCGGCATGGAGGTTATGATGCCAAACAGGAATGTGGTGAAAATGAAATAACATAAAATTTGTGTTTGACATAGCGCTTGTAACAATAGATGCTCCTGTTTAAAAACTTTTCCTTTTCTCCTCATTTGTAGAGAAATAAAGATGAGATCTGGAAAATTCAAGGTATCCAGACCTAAGCAGAATCAGCAATAAGCAGTCTGAACTCAGAGCTGTAAATATTAGGTCAATCTCACCCAGCTTCCCTTTTCCATTTCCCAAAAGTCTGCAGCTATTTACAATTTCAGGGAGAGAGTGGTCCTGATTCTAGGATAATTCTAGAAATTGAAAATTTCTTAGTTTATGTAATTTATTATGTAAAATTTCTTACAGTTTAATTCATTGTATTAAGTTTTTTAGTTTGTCATCTTTAAGTTCCATATGTCTCACAGCCAGGAGGTTCCAGGTCATTATTCAGCACTTACTATGTAATCAGGTAATTCTTATAACATCATCATCCCGTGATCACAGGTGGTGGGCTAGCGAGCTAACAATCTGACTATAGGACTCATTTGATGGATGAACACCATTGGGGTTGCTTAAGGGTTATCTGCAATAATTAATTCTTTCAACTTGTACTCCAGCCTGTCCATGTGGTCTTAGACTCTCTGGGAGGATCCTCCCAGGGCAAATGCTACAGGGTCAATTCACACAACTAATATCTTCAGCACCTGGAGATCAAATTATAGCTGATTCATTAAACTATTAGCATCACGTGCAAAAAGAAATCTCTGGCAAATCAAAGATGATAAAGTGGTTTTGACACTTGAATACAGACACTTGACAGAGATTTAGGGTGGTACAAAAAACAAAGAGATGGAAAATGAAAAAGTTTTTTCTCCACAACTCTCTAAATCTTAACCAGTTTCTGAAAAGGATACACAACTATTTTCATGAAACAAGCCATTGGCCAATTAGAAATGATAGAATAAGTAAAGTGCTATTACAGTACTACACATTAATAGAGGAAGGACAAATATTCTGAATTGGTCAAGCAAGAAATAAACAAAAGATATATGGAACAACTGAACAAGAAAGCAATTCAGAAAACTTGGTGGGTGAGGTCTTTGCTCCCTTTTTGCCAGAGATACGCAGGAACATACTTTCTTTTATAATTTTAGAAAAAAATTAAAGAAGTATTAAGGAGAAAATAACCATAATTACTCTACATAAATAATCTATTAGCTTTGTTTTACCATCTAGTGTTTGCCTTAATACATCATATTTTAGAGTTATAAGCAACATGTCATTTTATACTCTGATAATTTAATGACTGTGTTAACATAACAAATTTTCCATTTAAATAGTTTTTAAAATTATTATTTTCCTCTTCATAATACCCTTACTTTTTAAAATTTTATAGCTCTTCAGAGGGTAGGAGATAATTCTACAAAGATTCAATGTTTGCTACATCTGTCAAATTTTTAGGAGTCCAGTTGTTAGGGACACTGTGGAACATCCCCTCTAAAAGTAAAAACAAGTTATTGCACAGTGCATCTTCTACAAAAAAGGAGGAAACACAATGCTTGGCAACCCTCTTTGAGTAATGAAGATAGCAGATTTTACACCTACTCCGGAATACTACTCAGGCTCAAATACTGTAAGTGTAAAATGACAGCAACAAACAACCATCTTTGAGTGGGACTCAGATAGGAATGTCTCTGAAACAGAGCTAGGTCATAGTTCAAGCAGCCCTGAAATGAGGGCAATAGAATCTGGCAGACTCTATGGTGTTGTAAGTGTCAACAGGGGGAAAAGATGTTGTATGGAGTGCGTGATAAATTCCAGTGGGAAGATCACAGTGATGGTACCTTGAAAGCAAATGAACTAAGATTAAGATTAAGAAAGTTAATTAATTATAATGAATACTTCATCACTTTCAATTTGTATGACTCATAATTATTTTCTGATAGCTTTTAATATAAAATTTGCCATAAGATTTTTTAAAGCACCAATAATTATTTTATTGGTATCCTGATCTACATGTCTACTTATTCCTGACTCCTAGTTATTTTTCAGATCTAAGCCAAAATGATATTTTATCGTAGACTTTCCTGCCTCTCTCCATTTAAATTATCCTATTCCTCAGAGTATCCACAGTTAAATCAGTTTTTTCACTACCACATTCTCAGTGCCTAGCATAGTGCATGGCCATAAATAAATGTTGGATGAATAAATGAGTAAGTTTTGTTAAAGCAAACTAAACGTGGCCTGAGAAGGACTCTGTACTTCTACATTTGAGTCCTTGTGGACAAACTGCAACCGAGCTGAATAGGTAGACAACATTGAAAACCTAACTTAGGAGTATGCCCATGTAACAATAGCTGAGTCTTGGCCAATTGCAGTGGCGGTACTTCAACTATTCATACACTACTGAGTGTCCAAACTGTGTTCAAATAAGGCAAATGCCAACCTGTAACCAATCCAGCTGTTCTGTACCTCACTTTCCATTTCTGTATATCATTTCCCTTTTTTTTGTCTATAAATCTTCTTCTACCACGTGGCTATGCTGGAGTGTCTTTGAATCTGCTCTGATTCTGGGGGCTGCCCAATTCATAAATCATTTATTGTGCAATTAAACCCCTTTAATTTTAATTCGGCTGAAGTTTTTCTTTTTACAGTGTTCATAGATCTTTTTCTTATCTCCTTTGGATGAAACTATCTGGTAAATAAATAGGATAAAGTCCACCAATTTAAATAGAAATGGAAGATGAGTTTGTTAGAATTCTGGCTCTCCTGAAGCTTTCATTGTAGTCATAGAGCTAGAAAATAAATATGTAATGTATAAATAAGATAATTTTCAATAATAAATGAATATAAACTAAAAGTAATATGAATATAAACCAAAACTATGGAATATGATAAAGAATAACTGGAAGGAGAAGGAACTTTTGGTGGGATAATTAGAGAAAGGCTCTTTAAGAATATGATATCTAAGCTTTAAGATAGAGGCCTCTCATAAAAGGAGGAGTAGAGGAAGAAAACATTCTCTGTGCAAAAATGGTGAATGCAAAGAATCTATGGTGAAATTAGTCTTGGAAAACATAATGAACAGGTGTCCAGTGGGTCTACAGAGCGTAGTAAAGGCAATAATTCAAAAAGATGAGGCTGAGAAGGTAGGCAGAAACAAGATCATATTCGACCTTGTGAGCTTTGGTAAAAATCACTTATTTTACTATACATGAAGTAGAAAATCATCAGTGGTTTTAAGCAGAACAACAGTATCTAAAGCATATTATTGAAATGTGATTATTTGTGGAAGATAGATGGGGATGTAGGTGGATGGAAAGACTGGAGAAAAGGAGAATTCATCAATTAGGAGAATTTTGTTTTAGTGTAGGGGAAGTATGATTGCTTGCACAAAAATAATAGTTGGAAGGCAGACAGGCAAGAGAGAACTTAGTATATATCCTCAATTCCAGCATGAACTGAAGGTGGGCTTGTGGTAAGATAATGAGGAAAAGAAAATAATCAAAGATAAGTCTTATGTTTTTTGGCTCAATAAAGTGGGTGGAAGGTTATACCACTTACTGGCAGTAAGGAAAGTTTGGGTTGGGGTCAGAGTCAGAAATCCAAAGTTTTCTTTGGGACATTTTAAGTTTGAAATACTTATCAGAAATCTAGCTAGGGATGCCAAATAGACAGACAACCGAATTTAGAAATAGGGAGAGATCAGAGCTGTGAGTGTGTATATGACACCATCAGTATATAGTTGAGATCAAGGGAGTGTGACAAAAAAGAGAAAAATAGGGAAAGGGGTCAAGCTTGGTTGCTGCAGCCCACTAACACTTACAGATTAATTGGATGAGGAGATGCCAACGGAGGAAACTGATAAAGGAAAGTGAGAAAGGAAAGGTCAATGTTGTGTCAAAGATGCAAAGCAAAGAATTTCAGGAAGGAAAGCGCAATCTAGTCTACCAAACACTGTTAAACAGTACAGTAAGGACCACTGGCTCTGACAAATTGATGACCAGGGCAAAAGTAATTTTAGTAGAATAGAAATAATGGAAGTTTAATTAGAGTATTTTGAGGGGTGAATACTTTAATATTATTGGCACTACTAAGTGATAATATTGTCACTACTCCACCATAATAACCTATTCGGCAGATTAAACATTTAGTTGGTAATTCCACAATTCATTTATTTAGTAATTTAACAGTTCTCTGCTAGCTAGAAGATGAGATTTCAAGGTGATTAAGAGATGGTCCCAGTCTTTGAAGATAATATTTTTTAGATATCTCAGTGTGTCTGGAATTGGTTCCTTCTGGTGGGTTCTTGTTCTCGCTGACTTCAAGAATGAAGCCGCAGACCCTCGCGGTGAGTGTTACAGTTCTTAAAGATGGTGTGTCCGGAGTTAGTTCCTTCAGATGTTCACATGTGTCTGGAGTTTCTTCCTTCCGGTGGGTTCGTGGTCTCGCTGATTTCAGGAATGAAGCTACAGACCCTCGTGGTGAGTGTTACAGCTCATAAAGGTAGTGCAGACCCAAAAAGTGAGCAGCAGCAAGATTTATTATGAAGAGCGAAAGAACAAAACTTCCACAGTGTAGAAGTGGACCCAAGCAGGTTCCTGCTGTGGGCTTGGGTGGCCGGTTTTTATTCCCTTATTTGGCCCCGCCCACATCCTGCTGATTGGTCCATTTTACAGAGGGCTGATTAGTCCATTTTACAGAGTGCTGATTTGTCCATTTTTACAGAGTGCTGATTGGTGCGTTTACAAACCTTTAGCTAGACACAGAATGCTGATTGGTGTGTTTTTACAGAGAGCTGATTAGTGCATTTCCAAACCTTTACATAGACCCAGTGCTGATTGGTGCATTTTTACAGAGTGCTGATTGGTGCATTTACAAACCTTTAGCTAGACACAGAGTGCTGATTGGTGTGTTTAAAATCCTTTAGCTAGACAGAAAAGTTCTCCAAGTCCCCACCCAACCCAGAAGCCCAGCCAGCTTCACCTCTCATCAGAACTCTCATTTAGTTCTGGAAATTTTTCTGTTGCCACTGTTTAATTTTGTCTCTACCAAAAGATGATTGAAAATCGTATCCCTCCTCAGAAAGATTGAGGCAAAGGATTGATTTAGTCTTAAGCTTTTTCAAATTCTTCACCCCAGAAGAGTATTTTCATTTAATTTATAATGTCTTTCCACGTTCAATATGTTAAAAAATCCTTTTATGGGTTTAAATAAAATAGAAAATGGTTATTTATACTTGTAACTTCTTTTAAAAATTATCTTCATTTGCTCTATATCCTTAAATGGCTTGGCAGTTTAGAATCAACAACTGATATGAATAGATACTATTATTAAATTCACTAGTTCTTCAATAACACTAGAGAATTCATTACAATGAATGAGTTTCTTAGTGCAGTAGTTAGAGAGTTTGATATTGATTTCCTACACTGCAATAATTGCCAGCATTTCTGTGACAAAAATAACCATTATATTTAGAAAATCTATTTAATACCGAATAGAAATGTAAGATTGAGACACAAACACGTCCATTATTATACCAGAAGTAGTTAACATTTTTTCCTTTACTGCAATCCAAAAATATAGGACTGTTCTTTTTTACCTTATGGACTTGAATGCAGGTTAGAATGCCTTTTCCTTCTATTTTACTTTCAAAATGAAAGGTATTTTTTATTATCACGGATACAGGGTTAGGGTTCAACTGTTGATCATACAGAAATTTAAAGAGTAAAGACAACACTTGATCTCATCATCCAGAGACAATTACTGTTAATATTTATGTATATAATCCCTTGCAAACATTTATCTATGGTTGTGTTTTTGAATTTAATGCCTAAGAGTAGATCTGGCTGGTATGATAGCATTTATTCATGCTTTTCAGGGACTATTTTGTGTTAAAGTAATTTTTCTGTTTTCAAATAAAATATTGGTTTTTGTAGAAAATTCAAGTGCCACAGGAAAGATCCCTTTTCAATATCATCACTACCACCACCAGTCTCATTATTCAGGCATAAAAAGAGCCACTGTCAACATCTGGGTGGTTATCCCTCCAGGATGCATTCTACATCTTTAGCCATATCTTTTAATGGCAATGAATGCAGAGCACATTTTTACATGGTTGTTACTTGTTATTTAATCAATCACTTATTAATGAGCATTTAAATTCTTTTCAGTTATTTTTACCATTTCAAGTTTCAATGAACGTTCTTATACCTTCACATTTGCTCTTTTATCAGTTTATCTCCTTTTCTACCCTTACTTAATTTCAAAGTAGCAGTCTCTTAAAATGATTCAGATGTTCTTACAACTTAGATGATATGGCATAAATACTTAACAATGCTTGAATACTTAGTCCCTGTTGGGGTTCTAGGTCCTTTTCTCCTTGGTTTTCTTTCATGAGGAAGTCAGCAGGGTCAGATGAGGTCATAAAACATCATCTAATGAGTAAGAGGGGGAACTAGGGCATTGCAACCCTATGCTGTCAAACAAATGAGTATGTACTGAATATTTCCGTTTGAATAAAGTTCTAGAAAATGCAAACAAATCTATAGAGACAGTAATTTATCAGTTGCCTGGTGATGATTGTGGGATGGGTGGGGAGCACGCTAAGGATTAGGAAGGAGATGAAACTTTTGGAGGTGATAAATATGTTCCTCATCTTGACTGTAATTATGGTTTCATAGGCATCTACATATGCTAAAACTTAACAAATTGTACACTTTAAACATGTGTAGTGTATTGTATGTGAGTTATAACTTGCTAAATATGTTTAAAACAAGACAAAAAGAAACCTTAATGATGGTCACTGGGCAGCTTTCAGATTCAAAAAGCTGCTTATCTATTACCTAATATTATATTTACATTTTGCTTTGCAGTTTTATAAAGTACTTTCCTTACATTTTCCCTTTTGATCCTTACAACAGCTTTCTTGTATGTTGAGAAGGCATCATTGTCCCATTATATAGATGAGAAAATTGAGATTCCGAAAAGTTAACTTCCCCAAGATCAAAAAGCTACAAAGAATTGGCCCTAAGCTTTTACCTGTGCTGCAATGACTACATTCTGTACACATTTCTATGACATTACACTGTTACAAGAAACACTTTTGGCCCCTCATTTTCATGATTTCTGATTTGCATGCATTAGGCAGTATAAAAATGTGAATTTATCAGTAAAGAAAGATAAATATAAATCATAAGAGGCTTTTATCCAAAATAATAGAAAGCAGTATCTCTAAGAGATACTTGTACACCCGTGTTCATAACAATATTATTCACAATATCCAAAAGATAGAATCAACCCTAGTATCTGTCTATAAATGAAAGGATACACAAATTGTGGTACACACAGTGGAATTATTCAACCTTAAAAAGGAAGAGGATTCTGAAACATGCTACAACATGGATGAACCTTGAAAACATTATGCTAGGTAAAATAAGCCAAATACTGTAATGATTCTACCTTCATATAAGATATTTAGGGTAGCCAAAATAATAGAGAAAGTGCAATGTTGGTTGCCAGGAGCTGGGGGAAGAGAGAATGGGGAATTATTGTAAAATAGGTACAAAGTTTTGATCTTGTAAGATGAAAACAGTTTTGAAAATGGATGGTAGTAATGGTTCACAACAATATGAATGTAATCACTGAACTGTATGCTTACAAATGGTCGATAGTAAATTTTATGTTATGTGCATTTTATTACAATTTTTTAAAATTAAAAATATGAGTTTTTTTATATAAATGCGTTATTTTTATATGGAAACTTGGAGACCTGGGACTCATATGTGATCTTATTGCAAATGAACAAAGCTTCAATTATTTATTTTGTCACAGTTCTCAAAAATGTGCTCCTGAGCCATGCTACAACCCTCTAGTAAACTTGGTGAACCTAACTGAAAACAGAGGTGAAATGAAATATAGCTGGCTAATACTCTCTGCCTGAGGCTGAGAATTCCATAATTTGAAGCCTTGCTGAGTTGGAAAAGCCGACTGTAAGTTGAATGAGAAGTCCATATTGCTGAGTTGGAAAAGTTAACTACTGTAGTTCATCAACTCTAACACAATTTTTAACTGAAAGATATACCTCAAATTCATACATTTCTCTTCATTTCTATTTGCATGATTCTAATCTAGTTTTTCATCATTTTTGGTTGAATATAATGACCCTTTCTGTTTTTCCCTCTTGCCTGCTTCTAGTTCATTTTCTACATAGCAGCCAAAAATCTTCTTTAAAAATACATTATGTTGTATCAGTTCACTGCTTGGTGGCTTTTCATTTCATGTAAGATATGATCGAAGCATCTTACTGTGGTGTACAAGGTGCTGCACCATCTGGTCCCCGTGCAACAGCTGCCACACTCTGCCTCTCTCAGCACCTCTTAGACCATGAGCTTTCTTTCATTTTTTTGAACATGCCAAGCTCCTGCTATGGCACATCTGCATATGCTACCCCATGCTTTGAAGCCTCTCTCCTCCCCTTTTCAGAAGGGTGTGTCTTTGTTCTTTGGATTTCAAATACCACTTCTCTTGAACACTATCTAATGTGGATTCTCCCATTATCTCGATTTCCTCTTTGTTTACTTTGTTGCATTGAACAAAAGTTGTAATGTTGATTTACTTCTTTTTTTTCTATTTCCCATATTTGAATCTGAGCTCTTGGAGATCTGAGCACCTAGTGGAGATTTGGCATATAAAAAGAAATCAATAAAAACCATGGAATGATTGGATGAATAAAAACAAAAAATTGTCTGGGCGAAGTGGCTCATGCCTGGAATCCCAGCACTTTGGGAGGTCGAGGCAGGTGGATCACCTGAGGCCAGGAGTTCAAGAACAGCCTGGCCAAGATGGTGAAACCCCGTCTCTACTAAAAATATAAAAATTAGCTGGGTGTGGTGGTGGGCACCTGTAATCCCAGCTACTCAGGAGGCTGAGGCAGGAGAATTGGTTGAACATGGGAGGCAGAGGTTGCAGTGAGCCAAGATTGCACCACTGCACTCCAGCCTGGGTGACAAGAGTGAGATTCCATCTCAAGAAAAAAAAAAAATACAACCTAAACATTTATCAATAGAGAAATAGTTTTTTTTTTTAATAATACCATCCAATTGTTTAAAAGAATAAGAAAGATTTCTATGTGCTGTACTTAAATGAAAAAAGCAGGTTGCATAACCATTAATTACAGTGATATCTTATAAAATGTGTATATGCATGTGTGAGTATAATATATACATACATATGCATATATGCACATATATACGTGTGTGGTTCTGAAGGCATATAGAGCAAATTATTAAGGGTTACAGCCAGAGAAGAAAATAATATTATAGAAGTTGGGAATTGAATAATGAGAGACTTTAGCTTTTTATTTTATTTACTTCTATTAGAAAATGAATTTTTACTCCTGCAAGCATATTCAGATTTTTTGTATAATTTAAAAATACATGTATTCATTTGTTTGATGCCTTTATTTACTATGCTACAAATTAATGTGGAAATTGAATAATCGAATAGGTGTGAAAGGTTAACAGAATCAATATATGGTACAAATAAGGATATTATATGATGAGATTAAGTAATTAATATTAAGTCTTATATGAAGACCTTAAACTGACATTACTAGATAAGAATAAATTTTCAATGTTGGAAATACTAAGGGAAAAAATCACATATTTTTGCTTCTTCAAAGAGATAAGTTGCTTGCTATTGTCATGAGTTTTCAGACCTGAAACATTGATTTTTTTATCCCAATAAAGAATAAATATATTTGAGACTTTTACATTTTATTCAATAGTGCTGCAATTGATAATGAACACAGACATAAGACATCAGAAAATTTTACAACTAAGCACAGTTGTAAGCATTACATTTCTATATTTGATCAGCTCTGTCACACTTACTCAACTTTGCAAAACAAGGAAACAAAAAATTTTGTCTCTTTTTTATGGGCTGCTGGATCAATATGGCAAGAATGTGTATGTCCTGTATGTAACTGCAAATTCAAACAGAAAAGATGATTGCAGAAATTCAGTTAAGTGTTTTCCTGAAAGAATGTTGAAAGATAATTACAAAATATAGGCCAGAGGGAAACTCAAGAATTCCAGCCCACTTATGGTATTTAAAAATGTGCACTTTTTTTACCTACGGAAGGCACAAGTGCAAGACAGCTTTAGGTTTTTAAAGAAGAGCATCAGACAGCCCTGTGGACTTTGGCAGTATTGAACTTGAAGCCACTTCTTTTTCTAAGTTCTGCTTTCATCTTTGTTTCAGGTGATAGTCTCTTCCTGTATCACTGTCATCTTTAATTGTTGCCAACACTTGAGCTACTTCTCCTATCCCTCTGCAGAGTGCAACACAGAGTTGCTAAAAACTACTTACCTCGATATTCTGAAAAGAGTGTAGCCTTTGTGCTCTGGGCATGAAGTAGCTCAGCAACAATGCCTCAGAGTCACAGGTAAATCAAGAGATGGCATATAAGCAGGATTATGGTACACAATTATAGTATAAAATGTTAAGTATCAGTGCCAAATAGGCAATTTTCAGCACAATCTAGGTAGTTGTCATCTCACTGGTGTATAGGTTCATGAACATAGATTTCCAAAAAGCACTTACATATTGAGATAATATGCAAATTAAGTCTTTTTTTCCCCCCACCTCAGTTCCTGATTGCAGGAGGAACAATTCCCTCGCTCACTCTATGGGCATCTGACTATAAAATAGGAGCTGCTAGTCTCTTGAAAGTATTAAAAGAAAATATTCTGCCCTCTCTCCTGTCATCCACAGAAGGAAGGCCTTATCTGAATGAATGAAGGTCACCAGGGGGAGGATCACTGGCTCTAAGAATCTATCTGCCCTACAGATTGCACACATTCTTTCCTTTTTTCTCTCCTGGAATATCTGGATTGTTGAGATGCTCTATACCTGACTAGATAGGTAAATTCAGTACAGGGGAGAAGCAGCAAAAAGCACATTCAGACCTAGCACCCAGGCAGTGGACATTTTTTTTTCCACCAAAAATAAACTTGACTGACCAACATAGAATAGAGTCACTTCTCCCTATTCCTCTCACTAATTATTCTGAAAACTTCTGGACCTTATGTGTAAAATAAATGTAAGAAGACACTGAAAAGGTAAGAGATAAAGACAGAGCTGCAGGGACCTTTGGACCCAAAGAATAAGATGGCAGTAAGTTTCCTGGTTTTCTTTTTGCCACATTTATCTCAGACTTAGAGATGGAGAAGTTGGCAACCTGGAAATATCAATGGGAGCAGACAAAGAGAAAAAACGAATTCTGTCTAGCTGAAGTACCAGGACAGAGGCAACCTAATAAGACAGAAAACTTTTAGGTAGTATCACCTTATCCCAAACAACATGGAAAAGTGGCAGCCCTACAAAAACCTCCATTCTCAAAGTCCAGGTAGGAGCCTAGACTATACTTAATAAGATTATAATGAAGCAACCTTTGCCTCCCAAACAAGCCCAGTTGGTATCAAAAAATACAAGGTAGGGAACTGGTAATTTCATCACAGCCCAGGAGTAATGAGCCCCAACACCCTATGGTATCACTGAAGGCCATGTGGAGATCCTGAACTTCCACCTCCTACCCAGTGGCAATAAAGCAGCTCTCGCCCTTTTTGTATCAGAGAAGGACAAGTCAGAAGCCTGACCTTTTACCACCATTCAGTGGGTAACAAGGCTTTTCTCTTCCCTTTTCCTATTCTGTGAGTAGAGGCCACATGGAGACCAGAAACAAGATGTCCCTCTCCTTCCCAGCAAGTGTGATATCAGTGGAGGTCTAATAGGGATCCTGAAATCCCACTGCCACTCAACAATAATAAAACATTCCTACCCCTGCCCTGGAGTGTCAAAGAAGGCCAAGTATTTAACCTGAACTTTTACCCCAACCTGGTAGTAGCACTGTGGTGCCCCTCTCTTCCCTCGTTGTGGTACAAGAGCAGACCTGATAAATAGAAAATATCAATAAGATCCATTATCTCATAACATAATACCCAAATGCCCAGGTTTCGATAAAACATTATACTAACAACTGGGAATATTTCATCTTGAACAAGACAAGACTATCAATAAGTGCCAACACCAAGATGATACAGATATTATAACTACCTCAACTAGGATGTTAAGGCAGCTTTAATGAGCAATTACAAATGTTTTAAACACATGAAATAATGGAAAGTCTCTGCAAAGTAATAGAAATAATAAAGATGAACCAAAAGAAACTTTAGAACTGAAAAACATATTAACTGAAATGAAGGCTCACTGGATGGGTTCAAGAGAAGAGTGACAAAGATACAGGAAAGAATCAGAATTTGGAGATAGAACAATAGAAATTAACCAATCTGAACAACAGAGAAAAAATAGACTAAAACAACAAAAACCAAAACAGAACCTCAGGGACTTGTAGGACTATAACAAAAGATCTGACATTAGAGTTCCAGAAAGAGAAGAGAAAGAGGATAAGGCTGAAAAAGTATTCAAATTTGGCAAAAGATATAAAGATACAGGCCTAAGAAGCTGAGCATAGTCCCAAAAGGGTAAGCCCATAGAAATCCATGCCAGGATGCATCATAATCAAACTTTTGAAAAGTAAAGACAAAGAAAACCTTTAAAGCAGCAAGAAAGAAATGACACCTTACATATGGTGGATAAATAGTTTGAATGACAGCTGATTTCTCATCAAAAATCAAGGAGGCCAGAAGGAAATGGCATAACATTTTTCAAGTATGTAAATAAAAGAAAAAACAATCCACTCTGAATTTTATATCTGGTAAAATAATCCCTCAGAAATGAAAGGGAAAGAAAGACTTTATCAGACATATAAAAAGCAAAACAACCTGCTATTAACAGACCTACTTCTCAAGAATGCCTAAAGGAAATTCTCTAAATCTTTGGAAATAAAAAAGAAGCAATCTTGAAACATCAGGAAGGTAAGAAGCAAAAATATGAGTAAATACATTAGGCTTTCCTTCTCTTGAGCTTTCTAAATTATTTTGGACAGTTGAATCAAAACACAGCGTTGGAAAAAAAGACAATATATATTCAATTTTGTTCACTAGAATACTCTCTCTTGAGGCCTTCAGCCACCAAGAAAATAGTCTGATTGCTCTATAGTCATCAGGCTTGAGGGAGCCCAAACAAAGAACCTGGACTAAATGGAGAAAGAGATGCCTGGTCATCCCTCAGCTGCTCCAGCCACCATCAAATGGCAAATACGTGAGAGACCCCAAGTCAGTGCTGCCCAACTGAGGCATTCCTGAAATCTTGATCTCCAGAATCTGTGAGATAGTAAAACGATTAGTGTCTAAGCTTCTAACTTTTGAGATGATTTGTTATACAGCAGTAGATAAGTAAGACAACATGTATGACATTAGTCATTATGGAAAGGCAAATTAAAACCACAATGATACATGTACACACATATGCACATCCTGCATGTACACACATGCACTCAAGGAAAAAAAACACAGTGAGATACCAGTAGATACCCACTAGGATGCTTACAGTGGAACAGAGTGACAATACCAAATGTTAATGTGGATGTGGAACAATTACAACTTTCATATATTGATATAACCACTGTGAAAACCTGTTTAGCAGAGTTAAAGCATAATATGTGCATACCCTTTGAGCCAGCAATTCCATTCCCAACAGAAATATACATAGATTTATATGCAAAAATACTCATAGAAGTATTAATAAAAAGCCCCCACATACAAGGATACAAATGTCCATCCAAGGTAAAATGAATGAATACAGATAATATGAAGATCTGCTACATGCAACAACTCAAGTGAATCTCATGATCATAAATAAATAAAAGTTTACCTTAAAAGGTAAAGCAGATTATTTACTTAAAAGCTGATATTTTGATCCTTGATTTCAGATTCTATTTCTCAATTGGCCCAGACGTGGGGAAAAAGGTCTTCCACTCAAATATTCATTGCTTTTTTGGCTTAAGTCATAAATTGATGGATATTTGCCTTTGATCCACAAATCAGAATAACTTAGGTGGTTGAGATAGAATGAAATACATTTAATTATAATTTAATGAACTTAGCACAAGAAAGACACCACCAAACAAGGCTGAAAAAAATGAATAAAGTGAAAAATAGCTAAGATTTAGTTAATGTAAGCTATGTGCTAGATGCAAACTGTTGATCACATTCTTCATCGGTCAAGATCCTGCAAGAAACAAAATTTACTCAGATGGTTTTAACTCAAGGGTCATTAATGAAGGGACTATTTACAGAGAACTGGGCAAAGATAAGAAAACCAAAAATAGATATTGAAGTTCCCAGGAGCTACAAAGGAGTGAAAGCCATTAATTCTGACACTTAAGCCTGAAGGACAAGAGGCAGAATAAGTGATTCTGTGGCCCAGTGAAAACTGGCGTTGTGGAGTAAAGGCCATGAGACAGAAAAAAAGAGGGTTGAATGTAATGCCATAAAGTGGGTAGGGATCAGTCTTGAGGCACAGAGTAGTTTGAAGAAGGACAAAGAATGAATGGGACAGAGTCAGGAGGGGAGGTGGCAAATGAAAGCAACCAAGACAGATGCATTAAAAGATTTATCTCAATTTTCAAAAACTATCTGGTGAGACAGAGTTCTTCTCATTTTAAAGGTGGAAGAAGTGAGAGTTACATATGGTAAACAATTTGTTCAATTCTTAAGTCTATAGGCTTAATGATTACACTATTCGTGATGCTGAGTATATGCCCCCAAATATTTGTTTCAATAATTAATCGAGTGTAGGCTATATTTGATGTAATTAGGCATGTGTTATCTTTATGATATAATTAACTTTATAATATAATTAACTATAGTAATTATTAGTACAAAAGAGATGACTTTTCTCCCCTGAGATACCAAATGCCACTTAATTAGGATTAGGAAACAGGCCATGTTCAGGATTAGAGCAGAGGAGACAGATTCACTAGAAATGAAGAACTTGAAAAGGCAGGTTTTTATCAGGCAGCCAGCAGAGAATAAGTCCTACCTGAATTGTTACAAATACTACTTCTCCTCCCACTTGCCCTATGGTTCACATATACTGTCAATTTAGTAGTCTGAACATGACAATTCAAGCCTCTGAATCCATGCTGTTTCACATGCTGCTGCCTGGCCTGAAATGCCTTTCCTCTCTTTCCTTTTCTAATCTAACTATCCCACTTGTTCTTCAAAGCCAACTTCAAAGCCATTTCTTCCATAAAGTCTTCCTGAAAGCAGAGAATATGTCTTATACTTCTATGTAACTCCTCATGCCTCACATATAGCCTGAAATATGTAAGGTACTCCATTAGCATATTTAAATGAATTAAATTGAAAATAAATGAGAACTGATTTCTAAAAATTACAAACTTTCACGGAAGCAATGTAGAGGGAAACAGGACTGAATTATGATAGGTATTAAGAGGCAGATCAAAAAAATACAGACTAAAGATTGGCCAATATGGCACAGCCCAGAGCTGGGCTTCATTCCCCTGTGGTTGCCCGCAGTGCCACGCGAAGGCCTGCTCAGATGACACCACCCAAGTCTCCCTGTATAGCTTTCTGATTCTCTTGGAAGAAGTATGCACATGTGTGTGTTAACCTGTCTCACTTTTATATTTTATTCTTCCTTTTATAATTTATAGCTAAAATGAACTTGAATTAGTTTTATTATGAATAAGCATGCATTATTCTTTCCCTAACAGAATGATTACATTTTATTAGAATCTTTTCGTGAGTCATTATTCCTCTCAAATTTGAGTAGTCTTAAAATTTGTATTAAAAGCTTTATTTACTCCCAACTCCTCTTCTTCTCAACCCCACCTCCAGATTTATATGAAGTAGATTGTTACAGTGTTAGTTAAGGCATTCTATAAAACATAGCAGAGGCTATTCATAAATGAATAATAGGCGGTTTCTGACATCAGGAAGTTTAGACCGCTGCAAGAAAGCTAAAAAGGATATATAATAATTAAGAGGTAGAATTTTTGAGGTCTAAAAGTAATTGCTAGGTGGTTAAAGAGATGGGAGAACTCACTTCTGATTAAGGAGAACAGGAAGGGCTTCATGAAGAAAATAATGTATTTTCATTTTTATTCAGTGCTGAGCCCTTGTGTCTATGAATCAAGGAACAGATTGAAGGAGACTGATGGATTTTTTTGTATTTCTTTTAAAGGAATAAAGAAAATAGTACATTCTCTAGGTGGCACTGAAGGAAACAGACATGCCATCATGAGGTGATGTATAACATTATCCAATTCAAGGGAAGCTGGAAACTTACAGATCCCCTGTCCCACCCAGGGCCACCATGTTGCACAACATCATGAGACACTATACACACCCTAGTTTATGTAAATGTAAAACAGTAAGGAGCCTTAAGGAGCCTTTTTAGATTTTTTTCTGATCATTTTCCCATGAAATTTTAATACTACATATATATCGTATGTCGTTTTATGTAATGTATGTAATCTGCGCTACACATAAAAGTAAAATTTGTGTTTCCTTCCCCCATGTGCAAATTGTCATCCTCTTGTGGATCCTATCACCTGTGTTGAGAATGCATGTTGTAAAAGAAATGCCCATTTATATTACAGTAAACATCTTTCTTATGACAATGTGGATGATTCTCCTGAAATGGAAGAACCCTGTTCCCTAATGCCACTTTGAACCTCAAGAGAGAGTCAACAATAATTTAGGAATTCTATACCCCACAAATTTGATTTTGGATAAGTTATTATTTCAACCTCAAATATTAGGTTAATTTAGCTGACATCTAAGTTACAGCACTAATAATAACAAAAACTATTACCAGATACTGAAAAGAATTTTCACATTTTTACAAGGCTAATAGAATTTGACTGAAAAGCCCTAAATCATCAGTCACACAAGGGATTTGCCTGTGTTGCAGACCTTAATGAAGGGCTAAGTTTCTAATTTTCAGATTTTCCCCTTCAAATGATCCCCTTCACTTAATCATGCACAGTAGTTAGCCCTTCTTGTTTCTGCATCTCCAGCACCCACGTATCCAAAGATTCATTAGTGTCTCGGTTCAAACACAAGACTGAAGAACTGGCAAAGACTTTGAAATATTGTATTAAACTTTTTCATAGAAGAGGTCAGCAGAGATTTGCTTTCACACTGATATAAACTACCTCCCAAATGCACTAAGGTCTTAGAAAGTGGAAGTAGTTATTGTTTATTATTGTTTTAAATAACATTTTTCCACTATCGTGAGTCATATATCTTATAGGTATTTTAGTTTAAAATTGCAAAGACTTTATTTGAGGTTGCTAGCCAGACTCTTTTTTTCTTCCATTTCTCAAGTATTGTTCTTCATAATGGTAAACAATAGCAAAACACTTTCCCTTCTTTTAATGGAACAATCTGTCTTGAGACTAAATTGGTTGCTCAAGGGCCTATTCAAGCACAAGACTCAATGACCACTTTCAAGTTTATTAAATGATTAGAAAATTCTCATATAGAAAATGAGTTTAGATGTTGAAACCCACAAGGTCCCATCTAACTCTTAAGATTCCAAAAAGATTATTTTGTTTTGAATATACCAAGAACTTCAAAAGATGTCAGTGATCAGGTTCAGGTGACAAGGTAGAACCCTGATAAATATTTTCACTCCAGCTATTTTTCCCCTCAGTGGTAGAGACCTGGCCTATTCCATACCCATAAATCTTTTTTTGTTAGATTGTTACAATATTTGACTCCTATGGGATGGGAGATTTTACATCTAAAGTTTAAAGGATCTCTCTACATTGTAAAAGGAACACAAAAGTATCTAAGAAGATCTGTTTCTTAGAATATCAAGTATTTCCTGTAGGATAATTCCTTTCTCATCCCCAGAAGGCAGAGTTGATCCTATCACACCAGGCCTTCAGTAACTTCAAGTTGCCTTCAGCAAAAAGTCAAAATTCCTTGGCAGGACATACAAAGTTGTCTCTAGTCTGACCCTATATATGTTTATAACCTCATTTTAAGCTAACCTTTCTTTTACTTCTCCTATATTCTTGGGCTTTTCTAAACATAACATTTTCTTTAATTTTTCTGCCTCTTTGCATGTCACTTCCTCTGTCTAGAAGTTATTTATTTTCTCTTCCCAATGATTATCACTTCCTTAACGAGTTCTTTATATAACTAGTCACTTTCTTCTCTAATATCATCACACTTTGCACATATTTCTATGGCACTTCTCCCACTGATTTGCCCCCTTATTTGCATGTAGGCTTGCCCTGATCTTAGGTGGTCTTTTTCTGAGAGCAAGGAGGGTGTTAAGTCATAAAGTTAGCATTACATTATGTATTTATTTATTAGGCTGAACTACATGAAACTGCTGATATTTTATTTTTGACCTATAAAAATGTCTCTACTTATTTATACTCTACCTCATTGTATAAATACTTCTCAAAACCCTATTAAAAGCACACTGAGACAGAGAGAGCATACTCACCAAGTATTCCATTTGAATACTTAGACTTTCTGACTCCATTGCTATTATGTGGGGCTTAGTCTGGTCAATGAAACATGGAAAAAGTAAACAGAAGTATGCCACTTTCTAGCTGAAACAGTGAAAATAGCAAATGTATCTTTCTAAGCTCTCTGCTCTTGCTACAATGACCAAAGAAACTGTATGTTCTAGACAGTGCAGCTACAGATGGTACAACTTTAAATTGAATCACCGAGTGACATATGGAATAGAGCCCTACACCGACCCATAATGTACACAAGCAAGAAATAAACCATTATTGCATTAAGTTACTAAGATTTCAGCTTTAATGTCTGGCAATCTTACATATAACGAGTTAAAATAAAATAAAGAAATGAGGTAAAGCGAAATAAAAATGGGTAAATACAGGATAGGATTAAATCCAAAGTGCAAGCCATTATGTCCTCTATGTACTAAAGGTACATATTTGATTCTGAGCTTCCTTGTGGTCAAGTAAAAAGGAAAACCCTTATCTGTTGCAAAGTGCAAAGACTCCATAAAATAAAAAATTAACTTATAACAATGCTTTAAATGCTCAATATATATTGATTGAATAAAATTTTATATCATTGTGTGTTTATCATATTTTAGGAAAACAGAGCATAGAAAGATTACCTCTAGAACGATTAAAGAATCATGAAAATGGGTTAGAGAAACTTCTTACCTATGTTTGGCTTAGAGTAAATCTACATCAATTACTTTTCTATATGCAGAGATATTAGTCTCAAATTTCAACATAGTAGGTGATTCTGAACAAGAGGATACTGATGAGGTAAACCATTCACTTTGAGCATGCATCTTTTATAAGCTCTTTTTAAAAATAGTATTTAACTGCATATCAACACACCCATGACAAAGGATTTTACATTAATAAATTCTTAACTGAGAGGTGAGAATAATACCTCCACTAATTTTGTAAGAATCTTAAGGCGTAGAGACTAACAGGTATTAATAACTTTAATTCTCCAAACTTTTAGTGTAACAAAGTAATTACCTGAGCTGTTAGCTCTCTAGTTACATATTTCCATATTAACATGTAAAATTGTTATGCATAAATATAAGCATAGAAGCTTGTGAGATTATGGATCATTTTTATCTATATTTTGCTTTTTGTAAAATATTCAGTAACAAACTACATTATTTTTATAATCTGAGAAATGCACTTTTGAAATATAAAGATTCAAACACTGGCATTTTTATTCAGTCTGTTCGCCATATTACCTATCCACCCTCACTTTATCCTCATTGATAGCCTTGAACTCCTTATAAATATAATGGTCATTTGGAATGTCTTTGAAAAAAGAGATAGAATCATATCATTTATTACCTTTTACTACCTCTATAATATAAAGTTTGTTTGAGGACAGAGATTGTCACAATAAGCCAGATCTATACATGAAATACAAGAACCTCAGCATTCCCACTGGCAAAATTCATAGAGAAGCCCACTCCTAGTTTTCTTCTAGATACTCCTGCTGCAACTAATATGCACCAGCATCTCAGCCCTGATCCTGGAATGTCCTTGTTTATTTAATGCGATCTTGGGTCTGTTATATTGTCTCTTTTCTCACGGTCAAAATTTTCAAACACGTTTTCTATGGTTTTTATTCATTACCAAAGCTACACTACTCATTTCCAGAAAGGTACCTTTACTTCTAATAATTTATCTTTAATAATAATGGATGTCAGTAATGTTTGCTTAAAATGGTATTTATTATAGAATTATTTATATTCTAAACTGCTAGCAGCTTTGATTTCAAAGTAATGTTTACCATGCCTTTTATTTTATTCTTGATAGTTGCTTTACATATTTAAATCTTTTATACCTTTTTTCTGTAATCAG
The DNA here is from genome assembly GCF_000001405.40 of Homo sapiens. Taxonomy (NCBI): domain Eukaryota; kingdom Metazoa; phylum Chordata; class Mammalia; order Primates; family Hominidae; genus Homo; species Homo sapiens. Next base: position 104,179,664 of record NC_000009.12, on the reverse strand, counting down.
ACATAAGCATTCCAGTTTCTGATCTGAGGATCCACAGGCAATTGGCAGGACTGGTACTTTGCTCATTTGTTAACAAGGTTATTTGGGTTTATATTTTGCTATTGAGTTATGTGGGTTCCTTATATATTTTGTATCAAATATAGGGCTTGCAAATATTTACTCCCATTCCAGAAGTTGATTTTCTATGTTGTTGCTTCTTTTGACATGCAGAAGTTTTTTGGTTTGATGTAGTCCCACTTATTTATTTTTGCTTTTTGCTGCTTGTGCTTTTGATGTCATACCTGAAAAATCTGCTGAGACTAATATTAAGGAACTTTTTTTCCTATGTTTCCTTCTAGACATTTTATAGTTTTTGATCTTACATTTAAGTGTTTAATCCATTTTAATTTTTGTATATGGTGTAAGACAAGGGTCCAATTACACTCTTATGTGGATATCCAGTTTTCCCAGCACCATTTATTGAAGAAACTATCTTTTCTACATTGTAAGTTCTTGGCACCTTTATCAAAAATCAGTTGACTGGCTGGGCACCATGGCTCACACCTGTAATCCCAACACTTTAGGAGGCTGAGGCAGGTGGATCACTTGAGGTCAGGAGTTCAAGACCAACCAGGCCAAAGTGAAATCCCATCTCTACTAAAAATACAAAAATGAACTGGGCATGGTAGTGTGCGCCTGTAGTCCCAGCTACTTGGGAGGCTGAGGCACAAGAATCGCTTGAACCCAGGAGGCAGAGATTACAGTGAGCCGAGATTGCACCACTGCACTCCAGCCTAAGCCATAGAGTGAGACTGTATCTCAAAAAAAAATCAATTGGCCATAAATGCATGAATTGATTTTGGTACTCTTTATTCCATTGGTCTATGTGTCTGTGTTTATGCCAGTGCCAGACTGTTTTGATTACTTCAGCTTTGTAATATAATTTGAAATCATGTAGTATGATGTCTTCAGCTTATTTTCAATATTGCTTTGGTTATTTAAGGTATTTTGTGGTTCCATATAAATTTTAGGATTTTTTTGTTTATTTCTGTGAAAAATGCCATTGGAATTTTAATAGAGATTGCATTGAATCTGTAGAAATTTTTCCAAAGAAGACATACAAATGGCCAACAGGTATATGTAAAGGTGCTCAACATCATTAATCATAAGGAAATGCAAGTTAAAACCACAATGATATATCGCCTTACACCTGTTAGGATGGGGCTATTATCAAAAAGACAAGCAATTTGCAAGTGTTTGCAAGGATATGGAGAAGAAGGAACCCTTTTAAACTGTTGATGGGAATGTAAATTGGCACAGCTATTATGGAAAATGCTATAGAGGTTTCTCAAAATATTAAAAATAGAACTACCATACAATCCAGCAATCCCACTTTGGTGTATATATCAAAAGCAAATGAAATCAGTATCTCAAAGAGATAATTGTACTCCCATTTTCATTGCAGCATTATCCACAATAGCCAAGATATAGAAACAACCTGTGTCCATCGATAGAAGAATGATAAAGGATGGGTGTGTGTGTGTGTGTGTGTGTGATGTGTGATGTGTGTCTTCCACACATCATATATATATGACAGAATAGTATTTAGCCATAAAAAGGAAATCCTGGCATTTGTAACAACATGGATGAACCTGAAGGACATTGTGCTAAGTGAAATAAACTGGATGTATTTAAAAAAAAAACAAAAAACCTATATGGCCTCACTTAAATGTGAGATCTAAAAGAGTTGAACTCATAGAAACAGAAAGTTGAATGGTGGTTGCTAAGGACTAGTGAATTGGGGAAATGGTGAGATGCTAGTCAAAAGAGGCAAACTTTCAGTTATAAGATGAATAGATTCTGGCATTATAATGTACACCATGGTGACTGTAGTTAATAATTCTTTGTTGTTTACTTGGAATATGTTAAGAGAGCAGATTGTGAGGGTCTTCACCACACACACAGACACACACAAACACACAAAAGGTAACTATACATTATGATGAATGTGTTAATTTGACTGTGGTAATCAGTACACGATGTGCATGTACAACAAATTACATTGCACACCTTGAATATATATGGTTTTTATTTGCCAATTAAATATTTTTAAAAATTGAGATGATAAACCCAAATAAGCTCACCTTTCTTCTAAGACGTTTTTCCTCCAAAGTCAGAAGAGTGTTGTCAAAGCCAACATGCATTTAAGAAGTGTCCATGTTAATCAAAAGGAGGGCCATAAGCAGGTTTTTAAAAAGTCACTTCACATTTGAACGATCTGAAGCAATTTCTGCTAAAGTCCTCATTTAGCCATTTAGTTTAGTAATCCATATTTTCTTTCTTATACAGTTATAAATCATCAGCCTCCTGGTTTAGTTTTAATTACTGAAAATGGTTCAATAATCATGCAAATACAAAGTATCATTTTCATGTATTAATGTTCCTAGGAATAGCCCTTGGTCAAAGGTGGTAGCTGACACCTAGTGGCTGAATAATGCCAGGTAATAAATGCCCAAAACCCTTTCCTCAATTTATAAAAGTCTCTGAGTCAATATTTCAACTCTAGAGCTCCCTATGGAACTGACTGTGGCAGCAGTGTGCTGGAGCCAGGTTATACCTACTCACAAAACCTAACTTTTAATTATTCAGGAAGCGTACACTGGACTTAGTTATCAAAAGATATGGGGGCATGAATCTGACTTAGAAATTAGCTTACCCTCTTGAGCAAAGTTATTTAATCTCTCAGAGCCTCAGTTTGTCATTTAAAAATAGAATAATTCCTACCTCACAAGAAAATTGTAAGGATTAAGTAAGAAAGTTCCTGGCTTGAAATTAATATTTGTTAAAGCAATATGCTAGCAAAACCAGTAACTGACCACAGGGTAAATGTTTCAGCATGTTCAGTGAGCCTTTAAAACACCCTTTTCCTATTTCCTTTGACATTTCCTTGGCTGGTAAGGTCATGTTCTGGAAAAGAATATTGTTTAGAATATTGCTTAGAATAAAGACTTAAGTTTCAATCCAAGCTTTGAACCTATGATTTGGAATAACCTTTTATGGGTTACAGTGACCTTAACTGCACAAGGTGGGCTATTTAATTTAAGGTTCCTTCAAGTTAAAAAATTCCATGATCATATATCCTTTCACTATTTTCCATAAACATGTCCATTGTGAATCTAGCTTGAACCTCTCTACTTCTCCCTTTTCCCACGAAACTGTTTCTTCTCAAGGAATCTACTACACTCTTTAAATATTCCAGTCACAGCTCATCAGTGAGCCTGTGTAATAAAGGTTTAGAGAGAGATCTCTGAGAATGTTGTGATGCAAATTTCAACTTAAATTGCTTCCGATGAAGCCATTGGCAAACAGATCTTTCTCTTCCTCAATTTCACAATCATGCATTGGGAACTAATTGGGTCTGATTTACTACATGTCGCAATTGACCTTCCAGCTCTCTGCTAAGCTATTAGGTTTGTCTTGAAGTCAGTAAACCTTGGGTCCCTCTGGTCCTCAATCTGGGCCTTAGGCATCATACGAGCATCATTCACCTTGATTGTCTCAATCAATGACCTTTCCTTTTAACTCACTAGAGCTTCTGGGATGTTTTCTTTTTATCCTCTACAAAGAAATAGCTTTAACTATTGAGACTTCAGAGCCTCAGATAAGAAACCAGTTAAGGTGCTTTCAGCCATTTTTTATACTTCAAAAAAGATATTATTGCTGTAATATATTGTTTCCTTTCAACAGAATTTCCCCTGTGAGACTGCTGTGTACCTCTTGGTGCCTCTGATTATTCCTGATTTTGAATAGAAGCATTCTAAATTTAATACAATAGCTATATACTGAAGGTCCACACCAGAGTCCAAGTGGCTTTGGAGACCATATTTGTAAATTTAACTGGTATGTAAAATGTATTAAATGTAGCTTTTTGGTTATGACACCAATATTTTATTGTTTACGTTTATTTCACAGCAGTGAAAATTCTATAATTCACTTAGGGGACAACATGGGAAGGAGGAAACCGCCTATTTTTAGTTATAGGTTGGATCCTGGATCTATGGGTTCAAGAACGAGATTCTGAGGCCCCATCAAAGAAACTCCATGTGAGCCATGTAATAGCCTGAAGCTCCTCATTGGTGGTAAAGCTTGGATATATGCATATTAAGAGGAAAAAATTCAAAGACAGCTATAGAATAGAACTACCATTTGAGGAACAGGTACTTAAGAGCATCATAAGGCATAGCTTATGCTACACATGTAAGTGCTGTCCAGCCATTCTTTTTGAGGCAAAGAATGTCACTAGCTAACAAGCTCTTTATGAATTCCAGAGTGCCCAGTCGACTGGTAGCATCTGGAAAGCAGCTGAAGGTGTAGCACGATTAGAACAAACTTGGTGTTATCTAAAGGCTATAGCAACAGAGGTTTACGTGCAGGCCTTCATGGCAGAAGCCCTGTTTTTGTTGAGTGATGTCTAACAGACAAGGAGTCTGTGAAATCATGAAGGTGGTCCTGATGTCTAGTGGCACAGAGCTAGGGGCTTACCCAATCCCTCCTTGTGGCCTCTGTAGTACTAGCCAAAGGTCACACCTTTGTGTTGTATTGATGTAAACCAATGTAAAGCAATCCAAAACAGAATAATTCTTGCTTCTTTTGGTCTTTGTTGAATAGAAGTGAGTTCCAATTCTGGTGCCAATATTCATCAGCAATATGATTTAGGGCAAGTTCCTTCAACTTTCTAGGCCTTGCTTTCTTCATCAACAGATAGAGGTTGAGCATACCTCATCCCAGAATGCTTGGGAGCAGAAGTGTTTTGGATTTTGGATTTTTTCAAATTTTTGCATATACATAATGAGATATTTTGGAGATGGGACCCAAATGTAAACACAGAATTTATTTATATTTAATAAATACATTAGATGCATAACCTGAAGGTAATTTTATACAATCTGCTAAATAATTTTGTTTATGACTGTGACCTGTCACATAAGATCAGGTGTGGAATTTTCTACTTGTGGTGTCATGTCAGCACTCAAAAAGTGTTGGATTTTGGAGCCTTTTAGAGTTTGGATCTTTAGATTGGGGTGCTCAACCTGTATATATACCTTATGGGGTCATTGTAGGGATTAAATGGAATTAAAGTACTTGAAATATAATGTGTGTTTAATAAATGGCAACTGTAATTACTATTAGGATAATGATGAAAATGATGATAATGGAGATACCGACTTTTGAACAAGTACTTATTACAGAGTTTGGTACATAGTAAAAACTTAATATTCATTTCCTTTCCTTTCCATTTTGAGATTACTTCATGTCAAATATTTACAGTGCAGTCTACATATAGGTTTTCTCCCTGAAGCCTCAAAGAAAATGTCCTGCATTTTTCTCTTTAAGAGTTATCAAACACCTTCTCTTCACAAGATACTCCATTGTGCTGTGTCAAGAAGTGGGAGAAAAAAATGGCCTTTGGATTCAGAATAGCTGGATTTTTTTCTCTCACGACACTCCAACTATTAATAAACATCTGTATTAGTCATTTTTCTCTTATATTCAAAGACCATTAACTGCCCCAAAGTTCCTGAATCTTATTCTGTTCCAAAGTATTATATAATGAGAGTAGCTACCATTTGAGAACATTTACAGTGTTTCTGTACTATCTCATTTAAAGCTTACAATTTTATGATGTGATTATTACTGCCATTCTCATTTAACACATGAAAAAACTGGCTAATAAAAGTAAAATAAAACTAGATTACATAGCCAACATGTAACAAGAGTTGGGATTTAAACTTATGTCTGGCCCTAAAGCCTTTGCTTTCATCAATTATGCTGTTCAACCTCCTTACCAAAGACAGAATCTCTAGGAAAGTTGATTATCTTAGTGAACCAAATGTCAACTTCTTCATTAAAGTAGGAAGTATACACAATATAAAAATGATAAATCAGTTGAATTTTTTTTTACAACCTCAGTGTTCCATGAGAAAACTAAACTCAACAATCTTCTTCCCAACTAATCTTTTCAACATTAATCATTCTCTACAGTAAATTAGAAACTAGGAATTAATTTAATGAGTTTTTCTTCCTAATGACATAAACCTCATATCACTGTGGTTTCCAAATCAAATCGCCATCTAAGTAATCAAAGGACGTGGACTGCAGCCCTCTCTGATACTCAGTTAAATATGCAATTGAATAATTAAAATTTCTCACTGAAGTGGATACTTTTCATTCTTGGAAAATAATAATATGTTTTAACATAGCCAGAGGTCTCATTTCCTTAGCAATGTAAGGATGTTTGTTTCTTGTCATGTGTTACCTGATCCCCAAAACACATGCTGCCAATATAACATGTGGCTTGTATACATTTTTAAATATGCAATTGTAATTTTCAATGAGCCATGTACAAGAGATGTACTGATTCATGTCATTTGCATAAAATGTCAGTCATATTGGCAGCTAGTTTATCCTTTTGCTGTCCTTGAAGCAGAGCACAGAATGCTAAATCCCAGTGTCATTAGTAATGCCAATCAGAATAACAATCAGTTACTCACTTTTAAGTAAAAGAATGAAAAATTGAATTACCCCCGATTTGTCAAATTATTTCACAGAGTAATGATACCATTACTAAATCATATTAGTCCTACAAAGGGACCAGAATTCCCACCATAACATTTACAGGCAAGTCATTATATTTGAGGAGGTAGAAGATTAAATCAAAAGGTTTGGATACTTCAAGTAAATTAACACTTGAAAAGAATTGAATGACTTTAAGTATTCTTTCCAGTCAATGTACATCATTTTGTTTATTTGTTTTAATATATACTCTGGACAAGATCCCCTTTTCATAAGGGGAATGTCAGAATAGTTAAAAAAAATTGAATTGTGGCTATGCTAAAGGACGTGTAATTTACAAAGTTTACAGAAGAGCTTGAATTATGATGATGAGAGGTTGAAACATATAAGGAATGTTGGGAAAATTGGATTTATTTAGCCTCATGAAAATTCAGCAGAGGACATGCTAGACGCTTTAATTTATTTGAAACTGTCATATGGAAATGGATTAATAAACCAAACAAAGGTAAATGGGTAGAAGACACAGGAGGTAGATTTCAGCTGATCATAAGAGAAGGTTTTGTAAACATTAGAGCTGTGTATTACTATCTAATCTGTGCATCATTGGAAATATTCAAACACAGTTATGAATACCATAGAGGATACAGAGTATTTCATATTATAAGAAGAAAACTAGGTAAATGGCCAGCGATGTGTCTTTCAATCCTTAATGTATCTATTATACAGAATAAGAAAACAAAGACGTGAAATTACCCAAAAATAATTTTGAAAGAAAATAACAGACTAACAAACACAAAATAGAAAAATTCAAATTGAGTAGAAAATATTGTTATAGGCTGGGTTCCTCCAGAAGGCGATTCTAACACTGAGTTTAGTTTGCTATGTGTTTACTAAAGAGCTCCCTTAGGGACAGTCCCCGTAAAAGGGACATAAAGGAAACAGGTTTGAGTAGAGAGAAGTCGAGTTGTGTGGCAGGACCAATGACAGCCTCAGCCTACTCCAAAAGTTGCTCTGGAGCTAAAATACTCCTTCAGAGTTGTCCTGACTCGGGTCAAGATAGCCAAGTGTTTACACATTTTTATAAATCATCCATTCTATATGAGCAACCCCAAGAAGGAATGCAACCCTGGGCAAAGTGAGTCTCTGCAGCGGAAGCAGAACCTAGAATAGCTGACAGCTAAAACACTAGTGAACCAATCTCATGACTTTTCCTCTTCTGTCAGCTAGTCATATGGTGTGATTTGATGGAGAGGCACTATGCAAGAGTGGGAGATTATGTGTGGGTCTTCAGCTAGCTAACAGAGGACTTGTACTTGATTCTTTTTTGTTGTTGAGACACAGTAAAGCTCCATCACTCAGACTAGAGTGTGGTGGCACCATCACAGCTCATTACAGCCTTGAAATCCCAGGCTCAAGCAGTCCTCCCACCTCAGCCTCCCGAGTAGCTGGGTACTACAGGTATGTGCCACCATGGCTAATTTTTTTATTTTTTTGTAGAGATAGGGTTTCATTGTATTGCCCAGGCTAGTCTTAAACTCCTGGACTCAAGCAATCCTGTCTCAGCCTCCCAAAGTGCTGGCATTACAAGTATGAACCACCATGGCTGGCCTCAATTCTTGTTTTAACACTTGCATTTTGAAATGGATAGTTGCTGGACCCACCTGGCTTTGTAACTTGGTGAGTCTGATGAGAGAACCTAGCTAATGATGGGCAGCTGGGGCTGTAAGGTCACTTGGTACCCCATGGTTAGGTGCTCTAGCTCTACATGTGCTCAGTAACACACATGGAGCTGCTTGGTAAAAGATATTGAAGTCTCTACTATAGATAGCGTTGGCCTTGCCCTAGAAGTCTGAATTGTGAATATCTCTTTGAGGCTTCCATAAATTCAACATGGTATCTTTTCCCACACTGATACTTATAATACCATAGGGTGAGCTTGGTCATCTGTTCCAAGTGGCAAGGCTGCTTTCATCATAGCCTGGCCTGGCTACAGAGCCCTTTCCTGTTTGGGGCCCCACTTGAAGCTTCCATATCTCGGTATAACACAGTATTCCCAGTGGTTGAATATGCTGCCATCAGAACCTGAAGAGACCTTCCAAGCCGCGTGCTTCTGTTTTTGTGTTGGAAAGTACAAGATGCAATAGTTTGTTTTTTACTTTATATGGGATGTTCTGGAATGCCCATGACCACTGGACCACTAAAATTTTACTGATGTGAAATATCCCTGAGCGTTTCTGGGATTTATCTTCCATCCTCTGAAGCATATGTGTCTTAAGAAGGCCTCTAATATTCTAGCCACTTCTTGTTCATCTTGACCAATTACCATGATATCATTGATACAGTGGATCAACATGGTTTTCTGCAAGAGGTTTAGAGTGTCCAAACCTCTTCATAGTACATTATGATAGCAAATGGGAAAATTGATTTAATCCTGGAACTAAACTGTAAATAGATAGTGTTGTCTGAATTCAAACTATTTCGGATCCCTTACTCTGATAGTAATGAAAAAGAATACATTTGATAATTCAGTGGCTATATTCCCACTATCTGGGGCTATTTTAATCTGCTCAAGCAAAGATATTTCATCTAACATAGTGACTGTGGCTACAATCAGGGTTAATCCTTGGTTAAGTCTGACATAATATAATCCCATTTTCCAAGATTCTTTCATCTTGTTCAGGGGCCAGAGTGTTGAATTAAGTCAAGAAATGGCAGGAATCACCAACTCTACACTCTGTTACATTGACTCTAATTTCTGCCAACCTCATGGGATATGGTGTTTTTTTTTTATTTTTTTATTTTTTTGCTCGCTTAGATGGGAGTTTTGCAGTATCAGAGGCTTCCACCTAGAATTTCACGCTATGACAGATTTCACTCCACAGATCCAATGTAAGTGTTGTGCTGTTACTCAGCTTGTCATACCTGGGATCAGAGAAATGACTACTAGGTAGGCCCATGTACCCTGTGGACTCATTTGAGCCAGTTTTAATTTATTATCAAGCCTTTATATACTCTCATTTTAACAAGTCATGATGACATTTTAGGCCTCCATGTATCAGTACAACTCAGACTCTATGTCCATCATTTCATACAATATTTGGCTTTTTACCTTCCCTAGTGCACAGTTAACCTAGCATATAGTTGGACCTTTTTTTGTTAATCTAATCTGAAAGACTGTCCTTTTTTTTTTAAATTGATGTGTTTAGATCATTTTCATTTAATGTAATGATATTCTTGGATTTTGGTCTACCATTTTCTTGTTTGTTTTCTCTTCATCCTTTTGTCTTTCATCTTTCTGTTTCCTCTTTCCTGATTTGTTGTGGATTACTTGAATATGTTTTAGTATTCTATTTTACTTTATGTGGCTTTTTGACTTTATGTCTTCCTTTAGTTTATGTTAGTGATTGCCATAGGGATTTCTCTCTCTCTCTATATATATATATATATTTTTTTTTCAGTCTACTTAAAGTTAATATTTTATCTCTTCCAGTGAAATATAGAATTTTCATAGCCATGTAGGTCTCTTTACCCTACCTTCTTTATTTTGTAGTTATTGTATATTATGTATGACAGAGTGGGGAGGAGGAAGAGAAAAACAGGAAAGAGGAAAGAACATGGATAAAAAAAGTAAGAAACTAAAGAAGAAAGACTAGGCAAAAAGGAACAGTGAAAAAAGTACCTACCTCCTTAATATTTATAAGTTGCACTAACAGAAGATCAAGTTCAATTTTTAGTTTGTTTTAACATACTGAGGTTTTAAATAAAATTTAAAGCTCTTGTTTCCATTTCTTATATCAAATATAACAATATTTCCACTAAACTTTTTTTTATTTCATTCATCAATATTTCTCCCTTGTAATGTTAGCCTTAGAGGCTGACAAGATAAGGGGTGTGCTTTGGAGAACATATATATAGTTAAGATCAGGAAAACCCATTGCAATTGTCTGAAACCCATCAGATAATTTTATAATTTTTTTTATTTCCATGGTCATATATATTTTAAAGAACTAAAGCAAAAAGGGTATTTTATGTACATACTTATTTACTATTTCTCTTCTCCCTTCATTCTGAAATTCCAAGTTTCCTTTTGATATCCTTCTGCCCACACAACTTCCTTCTTTCAGGGAAGGTTTGCTGGAGACAGATTCTCTTCATTTTATTTCATCCTAGAATGTCCTATGTCTCCTGAGTTTCTGAAGGCTGTTTTCTTTAAACAGAGAATTCTGGGTAGTCTTGTTTGTTTCTCTCAGCCCTTTGTAGTTTCACTGTTTTTTGCCCACATGATTTCTGATGAGCAGTCCGAGGTCATTCAAATTGGTATTCCCCTATATGTACTGTGTTGCTTTCTTCTGTCTGATTTCAATATTTTTTCTCATATTCAGTTTTCTTTACTTTGATTATAATGTATCAGCATGTATTTTTCTTTGAATTTATCATGTTTAGCTTTTGCCAGATTCCTTATATCTTTTTAATTATGTCTTTCATACAGTTTTGGAAATCTTAAGCCATTATTTTTCAAAATAAGTTTCCTGCACTGATCTCTCTCTTCTTTCTCTAGAACTTCACTAACATGAATATTAACTTTCTAGTATTCTTTCAAATTGGAAAATTTCAATTGGTCTATCTTCAAGTTGATTTTTTCCTCTCTTATATCCATTTGGCAAGTGAGCCATTTACGAGACTTTGAAAATTTTCCATTATTGTATTTTTTAGTTCTATGATTGATTTTCATTTGTTACTTTTTAATAGTTCCTACATCTTTATTGAGAATGTCTATCTTCTCATTCGTTTCAAGAGTATTTGCCCTTATTTCACAAAACATGGTTATAATTCCTGTTTTAAAATGTGATAATTCCAGCATCTGGGTCATCTCAGGGTTCGCATCTGTGAATGTTATAGGATCCTTGAGTTTTGCTGAGATTGATCTTTTTTTGGTATGTCATGTAATTTTTAATTGTATTTAACTATGAATATTATAAAGGTTTTGTCATATTCCTGAGAATGTTGGCATTTTGTTTTAGCAACAACCAATCTCATTAAGGTTAGGTGCAAGTCTTAATCTGTGTTCTATGAGCTATAGTTTAGATATCAGTTTAGCTGTCAAAACTTTTGCAGTGCTAATTGTGCCATCTAGGATCTGGTCTGTGATTTAGACTTTAGCATACCTCAACTCAGTGCCGTGCATGTGCAAATCAGGGAGTGATCCTGGGAACTTACATATAAATGTAGAAATCTTTTACTATGGAACCCTCTTCTCTGTGACATTCCTCATACATTCTATATCCAAGAAATATTTTTTCCTGATCCTCTGGCTACTAAACTATAATTTTAGTGCCCCATGCTTCCAAACAGTTCTCATGACTGGGTCTACATGAGCAGCAAAGTGGTAAGAGAAAAAAAGAGAGATAACCAAAATTTCCTCCACATTCTTTGGACCATAGGAACATCTTGTCCAAGTTTTTTTTGGTCAAAGAGCAGGATTTTATCTCACAGTTTTAGGTGGCTGTATAATCACTGCTACTATTGCTATGCAAATACAGTTTCATGACTGGAGCTTGCATGGGTCTTGGACTGCTATAATTTTTTTTTTAACTGTCATTTTCTCCACAACTATTCTAAGGCTCCTTTTTCTCTCCGTTTAGCTGGAAAAGAAGAGAGAATTTCTTGGACTTTTTTTTTTTTAATCCACACCCACTGATTTGGGATACACTGAAACCTAAAGTAGGAGACATAGAAAAAAAAAAAAAAACAGGAAGATGTGTTGGTAATTCTTTTAGTTTTTATTTCCCTCTCAAGTATGCTTCGGAATTCTCAGTTAGTGACTTCATGCACTTTGTCCAGGGCTTTTGGTTATAAGTGAGACAGAGAAGGTGAAGTGCGTTTTCTCCAATTTAATTGGAACTTCAATCCCAAAAATTGAAGTTTGAAAAATATAAGAATAAGTATTTGTAAAACTTACAAAAAATATTGGGTATTACTAAATCATTATTATTCTGATAAATTAGATTCATGGTGTTTAAGAAAACTAAAAAATAAGAGCAGAAACATTCAATGGTTTTTTCTTATTTGACTATTTTTACTTGGTTGGTTTTGAATTATCCTGTAGTTTCAGTTATTTTCATGCATTAAATGATTTTACCAATTTTTTTTTTACATAACAAAGATTTTAAGTGTCCTGGTTTGACAAATTATTCACTTGACCTATTTATGAACAAATATAATTGTTTGGCATTTCTACTGCAAACTGTAAAGATCTCAATTTTTCTATATTATTTTTCATCCTAAGTGAAATGACTCCTTAAATGTTAAGCATCTTAGTCTTGTTTGAGAATAAATTGCTTCTCAGCAAAAATGATTTTAACACCTATATTTCATAATAAATTACACAATAGCATCTATATGCTCTATACACAACTTACAAATTTTTAAGTGTATTATAATAAGCAGGAACACCGACCCTAATACTATCCCCGATGATGCATTAAATTGGTTTTCATAATTCTTGCCTTTTCAGATTCCCTTAAATATCTTCATTTTGATACTGAAATTTAATTTTTAAAAACTTTCTCTATTCTGCCTCTGTCATTCTGAGCAAATTATGTCAACTGTCTATGCTTCAGCTTCTCTGCTGTAAAATTGGAAAAGCCCCCACCATTTTACATGACTGTTGCTAAGATTGAGGATAAAATATCTGTAAAATTGACAGGCACAGTAATGTGTAGTTATTAGTGCTTGAAATATATTATCATTTCTCCACATTACCATATCTTCTCATTATTAAATCCATCCACTGTCAATAGATGGCATTTGTAGCTACTCTTTGTATCCAGGGCTTGGCCAAGTATGACCCATGTGGTCCTATCATCTACGTGCTCTTAGTATAATCCTCCAATGTTCTCCCTTTAAAATGTATGGGTGAACAATGTTACCCACTGTGTCAGTTTCTAGTGATCGGTTCAGTATAGTAGAAAGGCTGTAATGACAAGTTGTACTGATGACATTACAAGGCTAAAATGAATCAAAGGGATAAGAAACTTACTTTTCAGGGATGCGAAGAGAATTCATGCATTCAATATATATTTCCTGAGATCCAACTGTATACCAAGAACTGGGCTAAGATCTGGAAATCAAAACGAAGAAAAAAACATACCCCCAGATTTGTGGAGAAATCAGAAATCCCTGAACTAGATTGTAAGTTATTTCAGGATAGCTATTTCATTTTACTTATCTTACTGTTATCTGCATTTAGCAGATTTTCTCACATTAGGTAGTAAGTACTTCTTGTTCAATGAATGCGTGAACCATCAATTGGAATACAGTCCTAATAGTGCTATGATGGAAGTATGCCTTTTAATTACAAATCACCAGACAAACTGTTACCTATCAATCATACCACGTTCCCATATAATCTCTTCAGGAAAAGAGCCCCACCTTTGAGCTCTTGCAGCCTTTTTTATATTCATTCAAATATCCATTGAAAAAATATGCATTGGATAATTACTACATTGTATTATAAGTATTTTATTATGTGTCTGTTCTACTCTTTCCCAATAAATGTCCTTCTACTACTTCACCCTCCCAACCTCCACCAGCAGGGCTAGGACTGAGTCTCAGTCCTCTCACACACACACACTCTCTCTCTCGGCTAATAAATTACAGGTACTTGACAGAAAGTACATGGATGTTGAATTAAAGTTTTCAGTTAGCTTTCATGGCTACATTTTGTTTTCAGGTAACATCTTTAGGACATACTGGACCTACTTCTAATTTAAACTGAGAAGCCCGAGTCCCCGTACATTCTCATCTAAATTTCTGACTTCCCAACTGAAATCTCTTCTTTCTCATTTCTATGTCCTTCTTGCCACCCTAAGATAGGAGACAAATGGATACACATTAAGTAGGGCTTAATACTACTACACTAACCTATTTTAAAGGTATGTTTTGATTTTTAAAATTTATTTAAATATTTTTAGGGTCATATTTTCTACAAAAAAATCTATAATCCAATAGGAAAGGGTAAAACATCTCTGCTATACTCATGGACAGGAACTCAGAACCACATGGCTGCTCTCAGCCCCATGGCAATATATCTATGAAACCCTATGGAACACAATTTGAAAACCGTCACTCTAAAGAAATACTGCTGCTTGTCATCAGCTGTGAAGAATGTCCCATGGAACAGTACCTGGGCAATCTATATTTTCTTCAGTGCCTCCTGTTTTCTCTTATGTAAAAATCTCATCAGAACAGGATGCTATCATTAAACCCAAAAAAAATAAACAATTTTGTTCTTTGTTACATTTTGATCAAAATAGTGAGAGTCAAAGGCCTGATATACAAAAATAAAATAATTAATGATCCTATCTGGCTTGAAAGCAGCTGTACTTCTAGCAATTCCTACAAAGTCTCATGGGTTTCAGGGAGGGGCACACTTCTGTAAAAAATCTGCTTAAGCCTCTCTGCTTGATAATGGTTTCTGTAAATACAGTTGAGTGAGATATTATAAATCCCAGTCACATCTATTCTCTTTCCAATTCCTTGTTTCAATCCACATAGCTCAGAGTTCTCTCCTTTAAGTGCTCTACATAAATACATAAATACAGAGTAGAGACATGTTAAGCCCCGTTGTCTAAGGTGGTGGTAGAAAATAAGTGAGATTAAAATTAAAATGTGAATAAAAATGTTACATATTTAGAAGTGTTTTAATCCTTTTAATATCTGTGACCAAGACTGGTTATAGGACCACTGAAAAGTTAGAGAAAGATTGTTCTTTGATGTCCTCTGTAATTCAGAATTCAATTTCAACCACTTTTTCCCTTCCTACTCACTCCTTTCTTGACTCTATGTTGGCCCAGTTCCTAGGATTGAGTTTCCTTCTTACTGACTACTCCTGTTTTGATTTCCTGGGAATGGAGCTATGTAAATGCAACTTCAAGTCACCTCCCAAGGACTACCTCCCTTTCCAATCATATTCCATGCCTAACCTCTCCTATACACACATTCTGGCTCTGGCCATTTAGTTAGATGTATTTACTAATTCATTAAGTTATGAATTCTTATGCTGTATGCACTTTTCTTTTTTTTCTTTTTTTGAGACAGATTCTCACTCTGTCACCAGGCTGCAGTGCAGTAGTACAGTCTCGGCTTACTGCAACCTCCGCCTCCCAGGTTCAAGTGATTCTCTTGCCTCAGCCTCCTGAGTAGCTGGGACTACAGGCACATACCACCACGCCCAGCTAATTTTTGTATTTTTAGTAGAGACGGGGTTTCACCAGGTTGGCCAGGAATGCACTTTTCTTTAATATGTTATACTTAACAAGATGTTTATTAAAGTAACATTATAAACAAACAAAAACATAAAACAAAAAAGAACCAAAAAGAAAAACATCCAAGAACACCAAACATTTGGAAAAAGTGTTTATATTAATATGTCTTACAGGGAAAGAGATTTGGGAAGAGAAAGTCTGTGTAGCTGAGGATACTGATAAGAGCCACACAGAGTGGTTGAATAGATTGTGTCCTGCTTTGGCATGAAATTGTATGTGTGTGTTTGCAGGGGTGGGTGGGAAAAAAAGGCAGATAGCTAGAAAAGTATTCAGAGATGATGATTTGACCTTTATGTTAAACCCAGCAACTTTTTTTTTTTTTTAATAAAGGCTACCCAGTACTTTTCTGATGAGACAATTCCATATTACTCTACGACCCTAGGCATTCCATCATGCCTGGATTTCTCTTACTATGTTCATAATTGCCTAACTGGCTTCTCTAGGCAAGAGAATGAGGACGATTCCACCCCACTGCCTTCTCAAGAATTAGCCTGTTAGTTTTTCTAGGCTCTGCTCCTCATGGCCCCACTTCCTGTGCCCTCCTGAACACCTATCTTGTACTGACCCCAATATGAGTAACTCAGCAGCCTCCTTTAACCATGTCAAAAGTTTTTACCCATAATATAAATGTTTCTGTTCTCCAGTGTTGAGGCAGTCCATAAAACATACTCAGCATTGTTATTTAAAGTTCATCTTGCCCAATTCCTTGGTAAGAGTGGGGCAAGAAAATTCAGAGCATGAAAAGGTTACTGGCAATTTGTATAGATTAGGAAAGCTCATTTACATAATAAATCTGGAGGAAAAGTGTAAAACTCATCCATAGAATAAGTTATATCATGACAAGACAATGCACTGAATAACCCTAGTCTACATAAACTCTGCTATCCTAGATAATAATATAGTTTCTTTCTATTAGGATAGAAGTTATTATGAGCCATAATGTCCTAAATATTGTTTGTGTTTGTTTGTGGACTTATCCACAAAAGAGGAATACTTGAGCCAAAAGAAAGTGCAACGTTATATGTCATTCTAATATGAATCTTGTCTTAGACTAAAGTCAATTTGCCATGTCTAGCTTGTGAGAAGTCGACTACACAGCAAGGAATGGGTCTATTACAATATAAAGGATGCAAATAAGTAGTAGAATGCACGATGGAATTTCTGCTCAAAGACAATTAAATAGGAAGGTCTCTTCTGTAATCTCTTTGATCAAAAATAAACGTACTCAAATAACTTTATGGTACTGACACAATGGAAAGATGTAATTGGTAATATTAATTAGGAAAGACTAAAATAGAAATGGTTTAAAAGGGTTACTCTGGAAATAGAAACCCAAGTGGACAGTGGGAGAGACAATTTTTTTTACAGGTACAAAATATAAATTTTGAATTTTTTTGCCATGCCCATGCACACATAACAGAATTTAAAAATATTTATAATAATGATAATGATGTAACTGAAGGCTTGAAAAAGAATGCCCTGGTTTAATTCTAAAATTCTAGCAGTAAAATTTACTATGATATTTAATATATTTTCAGTATTGGAAAGATCTTAAAGGCAGAATTATAAATTTGCTACTAAATTTATAAATGCTTTGAAAAATAGTCATTTAACAAATACTTATTAGATACCTACCATGTAACAGACATTGAAAAAACACAGCAATATATAAGGATGTGTGCAAAGACTAACAATAGCAATGTTCATTGCAAAGTTATTTACAACTACAAAATCTGGAAACAGTCAAAAGACCAAAAACAATTAGATGTTCACAAAGACCTATTTTTCTGTTTTACACACATATACATATATATAGTATACATGTATTTATAAATTCTTTTTTAAAAACATTTATGACCTTGGGAGGCTGAGGCGGTCGATCACCTGAGGTCAGGAATTCGATACTAACCCGGCCTACGTGGCAAAACCCTGTCTCTACTAAAAAAAGAAAAAAAGAAAAAAGAATACACAAATTAGCCAGGAATGGTGGCATGTGCCTATGGTCCCAGCACCTCGGGAGGCTGAGGCAGGAGAATTGCTTAAACCTAGGAGGTGGAGGTTGCGGTGAGCCAAGATCACGCCACTGCAATGCAATCTGGGCAGCAGAGTGAGCCTTTGTCTCAAAAAAATAAAATAAAAATAAAATATATATATAACTTTCGCATAGTTTCTTTTACAAAATATGAACAAATTCCATAATTATTTCTATCATTTAAATATAAATGCATTCTATCACAGTTATAGCATATATATATACATGTAACATGTACTTATGGAGAGTATATACATTCTGTGATAGAGTGCATTAAATTATACACATAATTAAAAATTATGTAATATAAGAGCATTTGGAAATATGCAAATTGTTCAAATGTTAAAAATGTAAAGAAATGCTCCTTTTAAATTAAGAAAGTATGTATTATGTATATAATAGAAATACAAAAAGTTAATACATGATAATGTGCAGTGGTTATAACTACATAATGATGTTGTGAGTGATTTTTATTGTCTTCTATGTATTTTCAATGGTGAACCACATATTTTTCTAAAGAGAAAAAAAGTTGTTTAAAAAGGATACAGTCAAACCTTGTCCATCCTTTTTTGGAATTGCAAAGGCCAATAAAAACATGCATCAAACTATCCTATGATTTATGTATTCAAGAGGGAAAGTGGGTGCATTTGCCTATGTTTGAATTGGTAACTGTACATCTTATGTTACAATAAATCTTGTGAACTTGGGAAACTTATTAATATTTGAATCTTAGCTCTGTGTACATTGTTCCTACATTTCTGAACATTACTTTAGCTTTAGACCAGAGTGGTTTATGCCAGACTAAGTTTGGATTTCCCCATGTTTTTGGAATAGAATTCCTCATCCAAAGTTCAGTTCACAAGGCACCAATATGCACAATGTACACTCAGCATTTAAATGCACACATGGAGTTAATTTAGCCTGTGAAGTTGACTTTTTCTTTAACAGTATGTCAGTAAATTGGTAGCTAAATTGTTTCTAATTCCATTTTAATGCTTCTAATAAAATTTGGAGTGCAATAAATTTAAGGTAGCATAATCATAATAAACGATGATTATAAATAAATTTTATTTTGCATGAAATACAGATTTGTGGCCACCTATTAATTAGAATGTTGACTTCTAATGGAAATGTGGTAAACATTACTGTGCTGTATAGCTTCTTTGGTTTTATAGAGCTCAGTTGTGTTTTGTAAATATAACCTATTTGAATTCATTACAGATAGTTTGTCAAGTAAATTTTTAAATCAGAAACAATGAAAAGCATTTAAATTTGGCATCACTGGGATAAAATTTGGACTATATATAATTTTAAGTGGAAACTTGCTTTGGAATTCATTTACTGTGTAGTATTACAAATATGACATATAATTGATTATTGTAGATTTTTTCTTATATGTTTAAAGGTGGAATATGGTATATGGTTCTCTGTAATTATTTGTGTGAACAATTACCATGGATTTTAAAATTGGGGAAACAGATGTACCCTTTGGATAATTTATACAGTAAATATCATACATTTAAAAAAAGAGGTCACATTCAGTGTGCTAAATCTAAGCATAGTCTACTATGAGATGAAGATAAAAAGGTTTCTTCCTAACTAAAGTGTTTGGTAAAACCAGTCGCTGAAAATGGACACCAGTGGGAAGTGATGTAATATAAACAGGGGAATTCTAGGCTTTGGGATGGCACAGGCCTGTACTAAAATGTCAGTTCTATCATTTATTCTCTGTGTGTCCTTGGGCAAATTACTTAACTAATCTGATTCTTATTGTCCATATCTGCACAATAGACCTGATAATACCCACCTTTCAAGAATGCTGTAAGAATGAACTAAGTAAAACCTTTTAAAGTGTCTACTAGAGGCCGGGCACATTGGCTCATGCCTGTAATCCCAGCACTTTGGGAGGCAGGTGGATCACCTGAGGTCAGGAGTTCAAGACCAGCTGGCCAACGTGCTGAAATCCCATCTCTACCAAAAAATATAAAAAATTAGCTGGGCGTGGTGGCGGGTGTCTGTAATCCCAGCTACTCATGAGGCTGAAGCAGGAGGATCGCTTGAACTCAGGAGGTGGAGGTTGCAGTAAGCTGAGATCAATGCCATTGTACTCCAGCCTGGGCAACAAAAGCTAAACTCCATCTCAAAAAAAAAAAAAAAAAGTGTCTACTAGAGAATACTGCACAAATGTGAACTACAAATTGTTAGCTACCCACTTTATTCCATTTATGTATGTATACATATATTTAAAGGGTTTATCTATATGATTTTTCTCTCCATCAAGCATTAAAAACCCCCAGAAAGACCTTCTGAAGTCAAGCCTTTCTTCAACTTAGGACAATATTCTTTCCTTACATATTTGTTTTTATCTGGTCCCTTTGTTCTTGACTATTGTTCAAGAACTAATTATTGTGTATTAGGTATCTTTTAGCTGAACTCTAGGTTAGAGGTATTTTTAACTTTTATAAATTTTTAGTTTTTTTCTTTTCTGTAACTGAAATAGTACTTTATGATTGTTTTTCACAATATTGATTTGATTTTTTAGACTGAACTTAACTGCTTCTAATGTAAATTTTAATTCTACCTGCTTTTTAGTATTGTGATGAATTTTCTTATGCAGTTTCCTTTACATTTGTCTGCCCTATCACTATTTTACTTCAGGCTATTGTTTGGTTTAATCATATCTTTCTCTTTCATAAAGTTTATTTTGTTTCATAAACATTGACAAAAAGGAAAAGCCTAATTCTTGATTTTTATGTATTTATTACATTAAAAGACATAAATATATTAATCTCTGCATTTTAAGTACTTCATTCTTTCTATTTTATATGCAGAATAACTTAATATACAGTATTCTATTAAGTGCTTTTTTTGGTTAGTTTGTCTAACTAATAGAGGTTTCTGAAAGCCTCATGTTTAGCCATATATGGGTGGTTATTGATTTTTAGATGTCTTCACTCTCCAGTCTTACTGCTTTCAGACTCTTCCTCTCTTATCTTCAGATGGATGGCTAATAAACTTACATCAATGTGTCTGCTCAGTTCAGACTAGGCTGATGTGGAAACATGACAGAGCCAGGTAGTTCAAGTAGGGAAACGTCGTATACTCGCTAGATTTTTTTTGAGTTGAATCGACTTTTTCACCAAACGTCCTTTGTGCCCCAGCATCTCATTTGAATACAAACTTTGGTTGTTCCTAAACTTCTTAACAAGTTATGCTTATAAACATTATTTTTTTAAAAACAAAATATACTACTATAACAATAACATGACTGAATTATTTGAATATAAAAAACAATAGCCACTATTCTAGAAGTGATTTCACATTTTTGCATACTGTCTTCAAACCTTTTATGTAACCTTTTAAAACTCCACATGGTAAAACAAATATATATATGTAGTATTTTCCTAAAAGCAATAATAAATAATGAGACATGCAGGTTTGTGCTTCACCAAGAAAATCTTTGTAAGACAGTTGGGACCAAGAGAGTTTGTTTCCCCCTCAAAATATAATTTTCTTTCTGACCAGAGGGGAGTGAGATAGGTGAGTGGACCATGCCAAAATTGATTTAACATTGTCTAAACAGAGTCCCATCAACTTTTCAAACTATATAAAACTATGCTCCTGATTGATGAAACTTAACTAGACATGTGAGAAGCAGCAGAAAATCTGACAAAACGTTGCCTTGAATTATTTTGTAAAAATAATTGATTGGCATCAGAAACACCAATTACATTGGTGCAAAAGTAATTGTGGTTTATACCATTGAGGGGAATAGCAAAAACTGGCCAGGTGCAGTGGTTCACGCCTGTATTCCCAAAACTTTGGGAAGCTGAGGTGGGCAGATCACTTGAGAGCAGAAGTTCGAGACCATCCTGGCCAACATGATGAAACTCCGTCTCTACCAAAAATACAAAAATTAGCCAGGCATGGTGGTGCACACCTGTAGTCCCAGCTACTCAGGATGCTGGGGAATGAGAATCCTCGAACCCGGGAGGCGGAGGTTGCAGTGAGCCGAGATCACGCCACTGCACCCCAGCCCGAGTGACAGAGTGAGACTCCATCTCAAAAAAAAAAAAAAGTGAAAAATGTAATTACTTTTGCACCAAACTAATATGTTTACAGTAAGAGTTATAGACATAAAAGAATATTACCAATGAGAGAAAAATAAGTGTGGAACAATGTTATATGTCATTCCAATATAAATCCTGTTTTAGTCTAAAGTTGATTTGTCATGTGTAGGTTGTGAGAAGTCCACTAGAGAACTCCACTACATAGCAGAGGTAGGTCTATTACACTACGGAGGATGCAATAAGCAGTAGCATGCATGATGGAATTTCTGCTCCAGGACAATTAAATAGGAAGGTCTCTTCCATAATCTCGATCAAAAATAAATGTACTCAAATACCTTTATGGTGCTGACACAATGGAAAGAAAAAATTGATTAATTAGAAAAGAGTAAAATAGGAATGGTCTAAAAGGGTTACTCTGGAAATAGAAATGTGAGTGGACAGTGGGAGGAATAATTTTCTTTTTATAGGTATAAAATGTAAATTTTGAATTTCTTTGGCCATGCCCATGCACACATTATTTATAAGAGAATTTAAAAATATTTAAAATAAGCTGGGCATGGTGGCTCACTCCTGTAATCCCAGCACTTTGGGAGGCCAAGGAGGGGGTGGATCACCTGATGTCAGAAGTTCAAGACCAGGCTGGCCAACATGGAGAAACCCCATCTCTACTGGGCATGGTGGTGAATGCCTGTAATCCCAGCTACTTGGGAGGCGGAGGCACGAGAATGGCTTGAACCAGGGAGGCATAGATTACAGTGACCTGAGATTGCACCACTGCACTCCAGCCTGGGCAACAGAACGAGACTCTGTCTCTAAATAAATAAATAAATAAATAAAATAATTATAAAGAGGTAATTGAAAGCTTGAAAAGAAAAAGAATACCATGGTATAATTCTAAAATTTTATCAATGTTATTAGTACTTTATACCTGTTTCACAGGCATGTAAAATGCAAAAGCTGTATGTTGTTTGGTGCATTTCTTTTTTAAGAAAATGGTGAATAGCAGCCTCATCTAAAAAACATCTACAAAGTGACAAAGTGATGCCAATCCCTCTCCAAATAACTGCTGTCTACTTATTTTGTATTCTGAATCGCACCAGTCAAAACTAAGAAAAACTTATATTGAGACCTTTTAACACCAAATTATATATATACAATTATATATATATATATATATATATAATTACATATATACAGCCTATGTGTGTGTGTGTATATAACATATAACATTGGTCCACACGTATTTTTCTCTCATTGGAAATGTTCTTTTATGTCTACACACACACACACACACACACACACACACACACACATACACAGTAAAAAAAATACCACTTGAAATTCTGTGCTTTCATTGCAGAAAGGAATTTGAATTAAGAATGGCAATTTGGGTGAGAAGTTAAAAACTAGAACTGAAAATCTATGAAATCTATGACCATATGTTTTCAGGGAAAAATATATATCAAAACATGAAGATTACTAATTGCAGTTTCAGTAGATTTTGTCACAAACTGCACATGGCTCAAACAGGCTTTTGTACCAACACACTAAACTGTTGTTTTTCACTTTAAAAGATTTAGTGCTAAGAAATGATTTCATTTGTGGCAGTTGCTACATTTATATACTTACTGTGCAGCATATCTTTTTATCTGGATTATTTGATAATGTTTCCTGTGAAATGTTGGAAATCATCATTATTTAAGGAATTTGGAAGTAACTATGCCTACTTAGTTTGGTATTACTCTTTCAAACTTTTTATTTCCTTTCAGAGAAAGAAAAAAAAATGACTTAAGTTGCTCACTAGAATATTTTTAGCTGAAAATATTATAAGAGTCCAAATTTTCTTCTCAGATTAAGCAGAAGGTCAAAGGCTTAGCCTGGGCTATAGCTCTGGGGAATGAAGGCTGGACCTAGGAGTAGGGTAGAAACAGGGTTTCAGAAAAGAAATTGCATTTTGGGAGAAAGCTGTCCTGTAGAAATACTAGCAAAAGACCTACAAGGGCATGGAAGTGATTCAAAACCAAAAGAAGCCCGCCGTGGTGCAGATTTGTAGTCCCAGCTACTCAGGAGGCTGACACAAGAGGATCACTTGAGGTCAGGGGTTCAAGACCAGCCTAGGTAAGATGGTGAGACCATCCCATCTCTAATAAAATGTTTTTAAAAAAGAAGACCATGAGAAAATAGGAAAATTAGGTTTGTAGTCAGCAAGACTTGAGTAGATAGCTTCAAGAGAGAAGAAAAGAGGAAAGCAACAGAGGGATGGATGAATGAGAGAAGCCTCAAAGAGAAGTGGTGATTCTGACATAGTTACCTAGACTCTACGTCCCAACCATCGAATATAGGCCAAATTTTATTCCTGTTTTGGGTTCTGAGTTAGGTCTGTTGTGGTATCCATAGGTTGGACAAAGTAGGGGGCAGCAAAAAGTGTAGTAGATGTTCATAGTATGCCTGCAGTTGCAAAATGAGTGGATTGACAATTTTTACATTGTGAATTTGAGTTTGAATATATCAGTTTGCATATTTAGCTATGGATAATGCTTTGTAACAGAAAGCAAATCAGAAGGCCAAGATAGTTTTCAGTGTGGTTCCTTTCCACTGATTTTGTCTAAAATCCAGGGAACACCTTGGATTTGCCTTAGCAGTATTTTTCTCTCTGTTTAGAAAATTAATTATGTCGCTGGTTTTTGCTCTCGTTAGAATTGTGCTAAATTCACAAGGTTAGATCATGAGTCCACATCCACATTAAAAAAAAATTTCTCACACCGCTTTTCTCCTGACTGATGATTGTTTGAGGATCTTCTAATTTTCCAGTCAAATCAGATTTGTTAGGAAGACAGAGTTTAAAGTCAAATACTTTTCTCAATCCAGTTGTAGAAGTGCCTTTCCAGCTTCTTTTCTTGATTCCATTTACACAATCTATAACCCAGGCATATAGAAATGTTTGTAGTCTCCAACATTTAATGTTTCATATTTTCATGCCTTATGCATGTCCTTCCCTCTCCCCTGGAATGACATTGTCTTTTGCTGCCAGTAAAGGTTCATTCATTTCCCACTCTCATCCAGAAGTATTAATCATCAGAGCCTCTATGCCTATAGCTGTCTTACAAATAGACTACCTGTGATTTGGTTACAAGTACCGTAATGGATCTCCTGAAAAGCCATCTGCTCTACCTCTTGTCCAAGTGCTTGAGATTTCCTCAATTATAAACTCATGAATCTTTAATAAAATGAAAAACTTTTTAACAAGTCTAACACTTTCCATTTAGAAATACTTGTTTAGCTAGAAGAGATAACTTGAAATGTTCCCAAAACATAGATACCGTAAGTACTCAAGGCGATGGATTCCCCAAATCCCTTGACTTGATTATTACACACTCTACATATGCAACAAAATATCACATGTACTCCATAAATATGTAAACTATTATGTATCAAGTGAAGAAAGAAACATTTGTTAATCTCTCTGTGTCAGGTACTATGCTAAGTATTAACGATAAAGAGATACATTAAACATTCTCCCTGTCCTCCTTGCTTTCCAGGGGGTATAACACCGAGAGAATATAATACAGTAACCATCCTGAGAGGTCTTGACTTACTGAAAAAATATGAAAGAGGCAGCATCTCAAGCTATCTGCAGCAAGGCCTCAGTAGACATAGCATTAAATCTGACACTTGAAAGATACACAAACAATTTCTAGACAGAGATTGAAATAAAGGGCTTGTAGGCAGAAGAAACAGACAAGTAAAATAGGATGGAAAATTTGAGTAATGCACAAAAAATATATATAAGAAAACTGTAAATAACCAAGACACAGAGTAGGTAGGGGTAGTAGGCAGCACACATAAGGGAGAAAGTACTGGGTTGGACATTCAGAGACAAGAAGTTCCTTGACATTCCTAAATTTAAATTGCCCCACAGTGAAAATAATTATGGGGTTGAATCAGATGAGCTCTTAAGGAGATGTGTGTGTGTGGTTGGGTGGAGGTGTGATTTAATTTATACAATTCTTTCCTACTATGTTTCATGTATTGTTAGGTAAAAGGAAGACAATTCAAAAAAACAGAAATCTTAAAAAATGTTTTTTACTACAGTGTTTCATGTGAAGGTATTATACATCACATGTGAGGTGACATAAACAAGAATTCACTAGTTCAGCAATTCCTGATTGATAGAAAAACTCCTAAGTGCTAAGCACTTATTTAGGCACTGAAAACGCTGGAATAAGCCTGCTCTCTGAGTCCAAAGAGTTTGGTTTGTTGGGGTGACAAATTAATCCATAAGACATGATAATATAAGTGTAAATGTACATTTGGAATAGTATAGAATAATTTTGATTTATGTTAGTGGTGATAGAGTTTAACGTTTTTTTAGTACCTTGTATGTGTCAAGAAACTGCAAGAACATTTACTATGTTCTAATTTGTCTAGCAATCTATCTAGTTGATATTATCAATGTCACCAATTTCACATTATGAAAGAGAAAGGACAATAAATAGATTACATTTAGCTTTTGTACAGGACTTTGAGAAATTCAGAGCTAGACCTAAATGGGAAGAGCTATTCCAGCTAGCTGTTCTTAGTCCTGAAGTCAAGAAGGGTGTTCTGAAGCTGTCACTCTTCAGGGAGATGGGGAAAAAGCTTTACGCTACATAAAGTACAGTAGAACATACATGAGAAATCTTAGTAAAAATCCTCTGAGCAAACTGTTACTGTGGAAGAAACTTTTGTCAGAGAATAATGATCCTATATAAAAAGCATATACACTTTCATATGCTATAGTGTAGTCCTCCTCAAACTGCAGTTTGAGGACCTCTGGGGAGGGGTCTTAGGATACATTCTCAGGGGTCTGTTAACTTCTCAATATTTTAAATTTTGTGCTTTTTCTTTCGGTAAGTTTAAAAGTGAATATAAACATGTTTAAGGCTCATCTTAATAAATAACTTGTATTCTTGATACAAGTGATTTCATTGCTTGCCTTTATAATTGTATAACAATATCTTTAGCATGAAGTAGGAATGCTTTGATGCAATTGAGCCATTAAATAAAAGAACAGAGGTGTTTTTAGCATGTACATGGTTTTGTCTTAGTAGGTGATGGCAAAATAGCATACTGTACAAGATTACAGTGATGTACATTGAGAAAAGTGGTGGGAAAAATAAGTCATTACATGGCTCATAATACATGTTATATGCTCTGTATATCTGACTCTCTATGCTGCAACTTTATTTCACCCCTTTATCTGCATGAGATGTTGAGCTAAATTGTGGTTTCATGGTTGTTTGTAGTCATTGTGTATTTTTTGCTCTTTTAGTTTAAAAGAATGGAAGGCAAAAGAGTTCATTTCGAAGTTTATGATCCTATATATTTAAGTAAATTCTGTGTAGAAAGTTTTTTTCCCTTTAGTTTTTACATTATTAAATGGCATTTTAGAAACACATGTTGAAAAATCATGAACCTTGGAATTGAAGAGATGTATTTAAATTCTGATTCTGCTATACCTCAGTTGAGGGGAGGTAAATTAATGTCTCTGAGCCTGTTTTCTTATCTATGAGAGTAATAATAGCAATTGTGCTGAGTTGTTAAAAGGAGCTAATAGATGAAAATTTGTGCAGTCAATGCATCCTTGTTTTCTTCCTTTCTTTTCTCTCTTTACCCTGAACCCACATTTTTCTATCTAAATCGTTAGTAGCAAGGCACCAGGATAGCATGGGCCATGGAGTAGCAACACAGTACATTTTTGGTTCATTTAGTCCTAATGGAAATTATGTGACAGGCGGCGTGGAAGATATGGCTTAAAATATTGGAATTATTTATAAAAGTAAATTACCTATGTTCTTTCTGGTCCCACAAAGCAGAGGTAATCAGGATATGTTTAATACCTGCTTCCTTACGCTGATCTAGAAGCAATCCATTGGTAAAAATCTTTTTCTCCTCCATTAGATTTCTTTTTTCTTTTCTTCAAATTAACATATGCCTTGAATGTTCAATTCTAAGTAATTAGCAATATAGTAGACTTCTATAACTAAATTACTAAGGGATTTAAAAATTTGTCTTTGATTAAAGTTGAAAGATGTGAAAATAAAACTTTTCAACCTTGAAACACAATAGCTTAGGCAGTTTATATACTTTTCACACATACAAAAATAGAATAGGAAGCAATAGGTGCAATACATAAAAGGGCTGATACCATTGATTTTTTTTTTTTTTTTTTTTTTGAGACAGAGTCTCACCCTGTTGCCCAGGCTGGAGTGTAGTGGTACAATCTCGGCTCGCTGTAACCTCTGCCTCCCGGGTTCAAGCGATTCTCCTGCCTCAGCCTCTGAGTAGCTGGGATTACAGGCGCCCACCACCATGCCCAGCTAATTTTTTTTAATTTTTTACTTTTAATAGAGACGGGATTTCACCATGCTGGCCAGGCTGTTCTCGAACCCCTGACCTCAGATGATCCACCCGCCTCGGACTCCCAAACTGCTGGGATTACAGGCATGAGCCACTGCGCCCGGCCAGAATATTGTATTTCTATTCAAGGGGGAACCGAATGTTATCTCAGCTCCAGACATAAATTTAGGAGTATTTCTCACTCATTATAATGGTGTAATATCTAAGAGTATGGGCTTATCAGCTAGACAGTCTGAATTCAAACTTAGGCTTTTCTATTTTCTAGCTGTATAACTTTAGGCAAATTGAGTAACCCAAGTAGAATTGAGAACAAATAAGTAGTTGGAAAAGGTAGAAATATTTTTAAGAGTCTTTTCAAATAATGTAAATATTTTTCCTTAATACTAAAAACAAAATGTGACAATAGCTTCTTAAAATTTAGTTGCAATGTGGAGTTTGAAACCAAATCAGTAAAGTTTTTGTACTCTGTAATATTAAAACCATTGATCATTCCTGCACTGTGAATGCCTATTTTACCCACATAATGACTTTGTAATATCACACATTGGCCACTGGAAAATGCCATTCACTGAATCATGCATATCTCCTAAATGTTAACACGTTTCATAATACAGTATCAAAAAAACTTCATTTGTTAACATTGCCACCTGTTGTATTAGAAAAGTCTTGAAATACTAAGATATGTCAAGCTCATAAGGAATACAAGTTTGCCAAAATTCTAATTTTCATTTGAAAGCTACAATTTTATTATTGGCAACAAATACGTTAGGTTTATATAACAGGCTCACTTTGTTCAATTCTGAGAAATGGCTACCTGATACCATAAACCTAATAACCATAGTTTGTAAGAAATTTGTTCAAGTAAGGCCGGGCGCGGTGGCTCACGCCTATAATCCCAGCACTTTGAGGCGCCGCGGCAGGTGGATCACGAGGTCAGGAGATCGAGACCATCCTGGCTAACACGGTGAAACCCCATCTCTACTAAAAAACAAAAAATTAGCAGGGCGTGGTGGCGGGCGCCTGTAGTCCCAGCTACTCGGGAGGCTGAGGCAGGAGAATGGCGTGAACCCAGGAGACGGAGCTTGCAGTGAGCCGAGATTGCGCCACTGCACTCCAGCCTGGGCGACAGAGCGAGACTCTGTCTCAAAAAAAAAAAAAAAAAAAAAAAGAAATTTGTTCAAGTAAAAATGGTATTCCATGAAAAAAAGCATTTATTTCAGACTCCAAATAAAACAACTGCATTTCTGTAAAATAACTGTCATGTTTTGCTATGCAGAAGTGCTTTATATATAATTCTCATTTCATCCCACGGATTATTACAGACATGTACTCAGGAAGTTGAGATATTAAAAATTAGTATTATAGCTTTATTAAAGACAGAAACTGCCATTAAAAAAATTCAAATGCGGCCGGGCACGGTGGCTCATGCCTGTAATCCCAGCACTTTGGGAGGCCGAGACGGGCGGATCACGAGGTCAGGAGATTGAGACCATCCTGGCTAACACGGTGAAACCCCGTCTCTACTAAAAATATAAAAAAATTAGCCGGGCTTAGTGGCGGGCACCTATAGTCCCAGCTACTCGGGAGGCTGAGGCAGGAGAATGGCATGAACCCAGGAGGCGGAGCTTGCAGTGAGCCGAGATTGCGCCACTGCACTCCAGCCTGGGCGACAGAGCGAGACTCCGTCTCAAAAAAAAAAAAAAAAAAAAAAAAAAAAAGAAAAAAAAAATTTGTTCAAGTAAAAATGGTATTCCATGAAAAAAAGCATTTATTTCAGACTCCAAATAAAACAACTGCATTTCTGTAAAATAACTGTCATGTTTTGCTATGCAGAAGTGCTTTATATATAATTCTCATTTCATCCCACGGATTATTACAGACATGTACTCAGGAAGTTGAGATATTAAAAATTAGTATTATAGCTTTATTAAAGTCAGAAACTGCCATTAAAAAAATTCAAATGCGGCCGGGCGCGGTGGCTCATGCCTGTAATCCCAGCACTTTGGGAGGCCGAGACGGGCGGATCACGAGGTCAGGAGATTGAGACCATCCTGGCTAACACGGTGAAACCCCGTCTCTACTAAAAATATAAAAAAGTTAGCCGGGCTTAGTGGCGGGCACCTATAGTCCCAGCTACTCGGGAGGCTGAGGCAGGAGAATGGCATGAATCCAGGAGGTGGAGGTTGCAGTAAGCCGAGATTGCGCCACTGCACTCCAGCCTGGGCAACTGAGCAAGACTCTGTCAAAAAAAAAAAAAAAAAAAAATTCAAATGCGTTGCAGTGAGAAATACAATCATTAGAAATCAGTGTGTTGCACTACCTTGCATGCTAAGGTGTCAGCTTCTCAGTTTCCCATTCATGCAAATGTCAACAAGTGGGTTGCAAGAGTTCTTTAAACGTTTTGGATGCAATTCTGTTAAATGTATACATTGCAAGTAATTTCTCCTATTCTGTAGCTTGTCTTTTCATTTTCTTAAGTGTCTTTTGAAGAGATTTTTTTCAACTTTGTTTTGATGAAGTTCAATTAGTCTCTTTTTTCCTTGTGTCTTCTTTGTCCTAAGAAATCTTTGCATAATGTAGGGTCACTATGTTTTCTTCTATAAGTGTTAGAACTTACTTCTGGGCCTATGACCCATTTTTATTTATTTTTCTGTATGTTGTTAAGGGTCAATGTTTACATTTTTTTCATATAAATATCAAGTTGTCAGCACCATCTGTTGAAAAAAATCTTTGTAATGGCTAATCTTTTATGTCATTAGATTTGATAATAGTTTAAGAATTTTTGTTCCTATATTCATGAGGGTTGCTTTCCTTTAACTTTTTTGTTTTGTAATGTCTGTGTCAGGTTTTACTATTAGAACAATACTAGTCTAGTAAAAAAAAAAAACAAAAAAACTAGCAAGTGTTCTCTCCCCTTCTATTTATAAGATTGGTGTTACTTCTTCCTTAAATGGTAAAATTTATGAGTGAAACTTGGAGTATTCATTGTAGGATTGGAGTTTTCTTTGTGGAAAGATATTTAATAATAATTACAATTTCATTAGTAGATGTGAGGCTATTCAGATTTTGTCTGTTCTTGTGTCAATTTTGGTTTTATTTTTCAAAGAATTTTTCTATTTTGTCTAAGTTGTCAAATTTATCGACATATAAATGGTCATAATTTTTTATCTTCTTAATCCAGGTAAGATCCACAGTGGCAGCTCTTCTTTCATTCCTGATAGTGATTTGTAATTTCTCTGGTTCCTTGATTGATAGGGATATAGAGATTTTGTTGACAGTTTGAGAACTCGATCTGGGTTTCATTGATTTTCTCCATTGTTTTATATATTATGGATTCCTATCCTTTATTTTTCAATCTTTTTACTTGAGTTTACTTTGTTCTTATCTAGAATACAGGTTAGAATAGAACCTTAGACCATTATATTTGTGGCTTTTTGTTTTTTAATAGAAGCATATGTCTGTCAATTTCTAATTTTTTTAAATTGAAATGATACAAAGTATGATCCCTGACCAAACAAGAATTAAATTAGAAGTCAAGAAGAAAAATATACTTGGAAAATGTCAAGAATTTATAAGTTAAAAAATACACTCCCCAGGGCTGGGTGCAGTGGCTCGCGCCTGTAATCCCAACACTTTGAGAGGCCGAGGTGGGTGGATCACGAGGTCAGGAGATCAAGACCATCCTGGCTAACACAGTGAAACCCCGTCTCTACTAAAAATACAAAAAATTAGCCAAGCGTGGTGGCACACACCTGTAGTCCCAGCTACTCGGGAGGCTGAGGCAGGAGACTCGCTTGAACCTGGGATGCAGAAGTTGCAGTGAGCTGAGATCACACCACTGTACTGCAGCCTGAGCGACAGACTGAGACTTCTTCTCAAAAAAAAAAAAAAAAAAAAAAAAAAAACTCCCTCAAAAACACCATGAGTTGAAGAAGAAATGTTCAAGAAAGTAAATTAGAAAACATTTTGAATTTAAAGAAAATGAAAACAGAACATGACAAAATCTGTGAGATGACACTGAAAGATTACTTGAGGGATGTTTGTAGCATTACATGCTAATCAGAAAAAAATCAGAATTCTCAAATTAATAATTTAAGCTTCCTCATGAGAAACTAGAGAAGGAATACCAAAGTAAGTCCAAAGCAAGCAGAAAAAAGAAAATAATTAAGCTAAGGGCAGAAATCAATGAACTGAAAACAGAAAAACAGTAGAGAAAGTTAATGAAATAAAACACTGGTTCTTTGAAAAGATCATAACATTAGACAACAGATAGACAAACCTCTATGTACCAAGGGTGACAAAAGTTAAAAAAAGACACAAATTATCATATTGGAAATGAAACAAGGGATATCAACTAGAGAACCTGAATACATCAAAAGGATGATAATACAGAAATACCATGATTAACTCCACACACAAATTTGGCAATTTAGATGAAAGACAGTAATTCCCCAAAAAGAAGAAACTACTGCAATTCATTCTATATAAAATAGATAAAAGATATAGAGTAGTCCTGTAACTACTAAGGAAATTTTTACTACTAATTTTACCACCCACCACCACCCTCAAATCTCAAGGTCCAGATTATTTCACAAAATTCTACCAAATATTTAAAGAAGAATTAACACTAGTTCTACACAATCCTCCAGAAAATAGAGGAGGGAACATTTCCCAATTCAATTTCATGAAGCCAGGATTATCCTGAAACAAGAAAAAAAGAAAACCATGCCAATGCCTCTCATGAATAGAGACATTAAAACCATGACCAAATTATTAGCAAATACATTTCAGCAAATGCAGAAAGAATTATACATGCCATTCTCAAGTAGAGTTTATTCTAGGGAAAGACTGGTTCAATATTTAAAAATCAAGCAGTGTAATCCATGATATTAACAGGCTAAGGAAGAAGTTACATGATCATACCAATCAATGTGGACAAAGCATTGAAAAAATTCAATACTTATTCGTGATAAAAAACTGCCATCAAAATAGGAATAGAAGAGAACTTCCTCAGTTTGGTAAAGAGCATCTACCAAAACCTTACAGCTAACATTACACTTCGAGGTGAAAGAATACTTCCTCCCTGATTTTGGGAACAAGGCAAGTGTAGTGGCTCTCACCACACTTTTTTTTTTTTTTTTTTTTGAGATGGAGTCTTGCTCTGTTGCCCAGGCTGGAGTGCAGTGGCGCGATCTTGGCTCACTACAACCTCCGCCTCCCAGGTTCAAGCAATTCTCCTGCCTCAGCCTCCCAAGTAGCTGGGACTATAGGTGCCCGCCACCAGGCCTGGCTAACTTTTTGTATTTTTAGTAGAGACAGGGTTGCACCGTGTTAGCTAGGATGGTCTGGCTCTCACCATTCTTACACAACACAGTGCTAAGAAGTTCCAGTCAATGCCATAAGGCACAAAAGGAAATAAAAGGCATACAGATCAACAGGGAAGAAATAAAGCTGCCTATGATTGTAGAGGACATAATTGTCTGTGTAGAAAATCCCGCAAAATCTACAAGAAACCTAGAACTAAGAAGTTTAGCAAGGCCAACGGTTACAAGATAGACATATAAAAATTAATTATATACACTAATGATGAACATATGGATATTATTGTTACACATAAATACCCTTTATCATAGCTCAAAAAATGAAATATTTAGGTGTAAGTCTAACAAAATGTACAGAATGTTTTACAGAATGTTTCAGCATACACATTTGATTCCTGCTATTTTATTCCTCTTTGTCAAACTTGACTTAGATATTCTAGACTGTTGCCTTTCTATATATGGTGTACTGAAAATAATCAGTGTTGAAGTTAAAGATCTCAATAAATGGAGAGACATTCAGTCCGTATTCCTGGGTTACCAGGTTCAACATAGTAAGGATGTCAATTCTCTTTAAATTAATACCTAGGTTTAATATAATTCCTATAAAAATCCCAAGGCATTCTGTAGATATAGTTAAGATTATTCTGAAACTTGTATGGAAAGGCATCCATCAAGAATATCTAAATCAATTTTGACAAAGAGGAATAAAGTAGCAAGAATCAATCTAACTGACTTCAAGGCTTATTATGTAGGGCCATAATCAAGACTGTGAGATATTGGAAAAGGGACAGACACATAGATCAATGGAACAGAATAGAGAACCTATAATAAAAGTAGACTTAAAAATGCCCAAATAATTTTTGACACAGTTGGAAAAGAAAAAACCAACTCGATGTTTTTCTAGGAGGAAAGACAGACTTTTTTTTTAGACAGTCTCTTGCTCTGTTGCCCAGGCTGGAGTGCAGTGGTGCAATCTCAACTCACTGCAACCTCCACCTCCCAGGTTAAAGTAATTCTGCCTTTGCCTCTCGAGTAGCTGGGATTACAGGCACACACCACCATGCCTGGCGAATTTTTTGTATTTTTAGTAGAGACGGGGTTTCACCATGTTGGTCTGGCTGGTCTCGAACTCCTGACCTCAAGTGATCCACCTGCCTCGGCCTCCCAAAGTGCTGAGATTACAGGCTTGAGCCTCCGTGCCTGGCTAAGACAGCCTTTTCAACAAATTGTGCTGGAGCAATTGGATATCCATAGGCCAAAAAAAACAAAACAAAAAAACAAACAAAAAAAAAAAACTGGTCACCTCTGGCTCCTTTCCATGCTATGGATACATCCTTACTCAGTAATCAGGGCTCAGGCTCAGGTTCTGTTAGTGTACTGGTGTATGTTATAGCATTAGGAATGCTGGTGCCCTGTTTTAAAATAATGACCTCTGGCAAAATATCAGAACCACAACTAACAAAACCTTGAGGGGCTGGCACTTTGACACACCTTTTATTACATGAGTAAGTATCCCAATGGCAACAACAAAAACAGGGACTGGATTGTTGTTAGCCCTCTGTGTAGGGGCTTCATGAATAACATTGTACGAGAGAACCTGAGTGAATGCAACTATGCCATTAATAAGACTTGGTCACTGTGGTCTGTGACAGAATGAGGTCCAGAATGGCAGATCACTTTGTGGCCATG
This sequence comes from Homo sapiens, assembly GCF_000001405.40. Classification (NCBI taxonomy): domain Eukaryota; kingdom Metazoa; phylum Chordata; class Mammalia; order Primates; family Hominidae; genus Homo; species Homo sapiens. The sequence continues at coordinate 104,144,275 of NC_000009.12, read as the reverse complement.
GCCACAGCTTAGGAGAACCTAACAAAGGTGTTATGCATCCAAACCATCCAGATCTCTCAGAGTTGACTCCATCTATGGGATAGGGGTCAGGCTGAGTTGGGGCAGTAACCCAGTCTGTCTATCCCTATCCTGAGGCCACTACCTCTGCAGGCCCCATTGCCCTTGTTACTTCACCCAGACCTTTTGGCCTCAGTGGTCTAGTCCAGGAAGGGAGGTCAGGTCCTAAACAAACTTGACCTATCTGATAACATCGCCCACCACAATGGAAGGATCAGATGTCTGTGACCTGTACACAAATGTTTACGGTATTCATACTAGCAAAAAAACTAGAGTCAACCTAGATATAAAGATACACACAGGAGTATTATTTAGCGTTAAAAAGGACATGTTATTTGTGACATGTATTAACATAGAAGGGATAATGCTAAGCGAAATCAAAGAGGCACAGAAAGACAAATACTCTAATGATCTCACTCATTTGTAAAATCTGAAAAAGTCAAACGCATAGAACCAGGGAGTAGAATGTGGTTGCCAAGGGCTGGGGAGCAGGGGAAGTGGGGAGATGTTTATCAAAGAATACAAAGTCATAGTTATGCATGATGAATAAGTTCTGGAGATCTGCTGTACAGCATGGTGACTATAGCTAATACTGTTATATATTTAAAATTTGCCAGAATACATCTTAATGTTCTCACCATACACACAAAAAAGGTAATTATGTGAGATGATATGTTAATTAGCTTGATTGAGGTAATCATTCCATAACATATACAAATATCAAAACATCACACTGTATACTATAAACATTACCATATCCTGTGGTACTACCCTTGAAATGCCTCAGACATTTCAGCCTCAGCCATCCAGTCCAGGAAGGGAAGTCACTTCTTGAATGATGACATGTCTGACAACATTGCCCAGCCAAATGGAAGGATCAGATGTCCCTGGCACTATCAGAGGGACTCTAGCATCCTGGTATTTCTTGGTCCTGTTTCCACCCTTGAGGGATCCCACAGGGAGTGCACCTGAGGGAAACGCTGACTCCAGATTAAGAGTTAGGGGGGCCTTTTGGGGTACTGTGGCAGCCTGAACTGCAAACCACCCACAGGATGTGCACTCTAAAAAGAGAAAATGGCTGGGAACACTGGAATTTGGATTTCACAGGCAGAGGCCGTCATCTGGTCCACCTGTACCTCCTCCAAGCTCAGTGCTTCTCAACATGTGCTGCAATCATGTGGTTCCCTTGCCCTGGAGGGCAGTGCTCAGTGTCCATACTGCCATATTCGGATGGGGTGGTACCACCCCACTTGTAGGCTATCTTGGTGTCCTTCCTTCACTCATTGTGAGCTGGCTTTCCATTGTTCAACAGCTCTATTGGACTGAGGATGACAGGGTGCATGGAAAACCCATTGTATTCCATGAGTGTGCCTGCTGTCATGTTCCTTGGGCAGTAAAGGAGGTTCCTTGTCAGAGCAAAGTTTTACAGGGTATCCAAAAACATAATTTAAGTTTCCCTAAAAGGTGGCTATGGTATTCCCAGCATCCACAGGTGACATGTATTTGTCCTTGCCAGTTAGCAACCTTTTGCCATACTCCTTGTAACCACACAGATCTTTTTCCACTTGGTTGTCATTCACCTGACCAGATAGCAAGGCTGTTCTTTTTGACAACTAGTGAGAAGTGGGGAGAAGTGGGTCAGTCCAAGGTCACCTGGAGAACGGTCTTGCAGGTGGCAGTTCAAATCACAATTTAATTTTATTATGGTAAACTGCAAACTGCTTGTCTTTTTCACAAAGATTCTCTTTGATGAAGTTCTAGCCAGGTTCTTCTGAGCCCTTTCTACGTCTAAATAAACCTTTGCCTGTAAAGATCTGAAAAAAACACTAGCAGTTTCTAACAGCTCAAAGCCACATCCATAGGTTGACTATCCTCCTCCTGAAAGTCAACTCCTGAGAAAACTCAAGGTTGCTGAGTTTACTGTTTCTTCCAACCAACACTTGAAGGTAGAGTCCCAGTCTCTGTGGGAGGGTAAGAGCCTACCTTGGCATTAGAGCCAGTTAACAAATCTAAATGGGTTTCACATCAACCAATTCCCTTTCCTGTTTATATCCCTGACTCTAAGCCCCCACTTATCCTCCTCTATTCCCTCATTCTCCCTTTAAGACACCCAGTCACCTCAATACAAATCAAAATTGAGTTCAGTTCATACTGGACTCTTCTTATTTCAAGAGTATGTTACTGATTTAAATCTATCCTTACTGTTTTAACTAGTATCTGGCTTTATCTTTGATGTGTTCTGTATCTAGAGTTCAGGGGTTAATTACTTTCGCTGACTTCATCTACTAAGTAAGTCTGGGGACCTCTTTCTCCAGGTCCTCGTTTATCCCTTCTGAGACGTCTCCTTCACTTTCTGGAAGCTGTGGTTAGCCCAGATCCCATCTTTTAGTTCTCCAGACCAGAAAGACCCCAGGCTTTCCACTGCAGCCTTAGCTGTCCTACAGCTGCATCATGACTATAGCTGGTACTTAGGTTAAAAACATTAACCTTAGCTTGTGCCTGTCTCTTCCTCCGTATTTTATCTCCCATCCAAAATCTTTCTAGTTTTTCTTCAGTTTCCTGAACTCTCAGGTAGTTGTTTCTAGTATTTTGCTCAGAATCTATATTTATCATCTGTGGGAATGTTGGCCTTTAGATTATGCCACCCTATTGGAAGAGAAAATTTCATGTCTTTGCTTTGCATTTGCTGTGAGCTTACTTGAAATGCCAAAACCGCCACCACCACAATGAATCCTCTCTTCACATGGTTGAGGTTCTTCTTTAAGGTAACATTCACGTTGTACATACTGCTCATACAGGTATTTTTCTTAAATTTATTCTGTACAATAAATACAAATGTTCAAGCTGTCAGTGACGTAGTATATCTTAGGTTCTGGAGACTGACAAGATTTGTCCATGGGCCCTGACACTCCTAACTGTATTATCACCCTGAGCAAGTTTCCTAACTTTTCTGCTCAACTCACTCAATTCCTCGATTACACCATGCTGACAACAACAGTATTTACCTCACTAGGTTACTCTGAGGATTAAATATGACAATACATACAAATGAGAACAGCAGCTAATGTAAAGAAAGAGCTTGTTAAATATTAGTTAACTCATATTACTGCAGATGTGTGAAACAAATGTCCCCAATCCCCTTAATGTCTTCCCTCTAATGAAAAAAAGTTACAACAATTTAATACATGTTTGAGGGTTTTCAAAGATCAAGATTATACAAGACAAAAATCAGGAACGCACACAAGCAAAACATTTTTAGCAGAGAAAAGGAAATGAGTACGTAAGCCAAAATAGTCAAACTCCCAAATTATTTTTAAAACGTTGGCTAAAACAGCAATGAAGTACCACTTAATAACTAACTGTTAAATCAGAAATATTAAAATTAACAGCAAGTACTGACTAATTTGTATACTATGGTATACTTTAATATTGACAGTGTGAATTGGTAACTGTTTTGGCACAGTCTGTAATACATTTGAAAGGAAACAAAAAAACTATATTTGACATTGGACTTTCTGTAACTCAACATTTACAGCATTATTTCCTCTCCCCTCCACAGTGGACAGAACTAATTCCAGATTCAATCCTTTCCAATGTGTCCCATAATATCAATTACTGCATGTTTTCTGACATCTCATATGTATGGAGAATGAAGGGTGGGAAATGTCAAGCCCAGGGCCAGGAAGTACGGCCATATATCAGGGGAAGTATGATAATAACACTAAGGAAATAAGACTAAAAAATCAAGAAGAGATGTGGGGCCAAAATAACACATGGAAGATCAGATTACATCATGTCAGACCTTTCATGATTCAGTTTGGGGTCACTGTTCTAGTGATGACGTACCAAAAACTGTAGACAGTATTCTCATGGTGTTCGCTAGTGTCATCTTTCAAGTTCTAAAGGAATTTCATCCCTTTGAACTGGAAAGCGGAAGACAAATAATCATCCAACTTTTGAGTTATTTTGGTGGAACAGATGGATTGAGTTATTTATATTTATACATATATATATCAGACTCAGGGAAAAATAAATTTGGTTTAGTCTACTGGCACCTACATTCTTGTTTACCAATAGGTTGTTAATGACTGGATTATGAAAAGGCTGACAAAAATCTTGGAAAATATTAACAAACTTCAGATAAATTTGCAGCAGATAGTACCACGCAACACACCTCCTAAGCTTTGATTTAAAAATACTTACACAGCTTAAAAAAACAAAAACATTAAAGTCGTAGAGACCAATTATTAAGCGTATAGGAACATGATATTCATGTATCATTAAAACGTAGAGACCAATTATTAAGCGTATAGGAACATGATATTCATGTATCATTAAAATAAGGATTCTTTCAAGATCTGTTTCCTATCTCAGTCTAAATCAGGGGTCTGGAGTTGTGGCCTTAAAAAACTAGCCTCAAACGGCTCCATGCATGCATAATAGCTTTATATGTGTTCCCTTTGTTGGTCCAGTTACCTGATTTATAATTCTTCCTTACCTGAATGACTTTAGAAAACACATTAATATTGCCTTAGGAATTAAATCAATTAAACACTGATGATCAGCTACATTTATCATGTAATTTAATCTGCTTTTTTGTATATTAGCTTTTACATATAGAATCGGGTATCTCAGGATCCCTAATATATAAAAGACCCGCATAAGAAAAAAACATTTGATGATATGCATAAAATCACAACCACAATAATTGGACCATAATTAGACTAGTTAAGAGATGAGGAATATATGCTCATTTGTAAGCGATAAGTGATTATATAAAGAGAAAACATGGGTTAAGTAACACAGTAACATTAATTTTTGTATATAAACAAATTAGTTATCTCAAGTCCTTAAAAGTTTACATTTAAAAAAACAGGTCAAGATGAAGAAATAACTTTGTAGTTTAAACTTCCACATGTGCTCCTTTGGGTGGTTTTGCCTTGGATTTTGCTTCCTTTGAAATCTTTCCATTTTGACATTGAGTAAATCTGGCTACTGTAGAAACACCATCCACAAACTTGGTTTTGAAAAGAACGTTTGCATTGTTGAACATACCTTCTTTTAGTGACACCACAATGAACTTAAGGAAAAAAGAAAAAAGTATAAAAAAACTTTTTGTGATATACTTGAAGTTTACTCCTTTATACTGGTGATAAGAATGGTTTGGAGATAATTTTATTTCTTTAAATAGTTATATGAGGCACCTAAATGAATGCTAGCTGTCCATATTGTTTTAGAAGTCTCTTAATTTTACTTTGGGTACTTCATTACCCAATTTTACTATTTCCTGGTGGTTGACTGCTTGTTGCTATCTTTTGTAGCTGGCATTCAGTTTTGTTGCTAACTAAAGCTGCTCTAGTGAGATATTTTTCTTGTGACATTTTAATATCAAAGAAGGTTTCAAGTTCCTATAGCACACCACTAGCCCAAACAGAACTTCTGAATAATTAGGCACTGCCCCGCCGCCCCATTCAATGTTATTTGCCAAAACACTGCTATAATAAATACACAATCCATGGTAACTATGAGTGGAGTCCCCAGAGTTGTACAATGCATAATTTATGCAAGCATATTTGGCAGCCCCAGCTCCTACAGCAATAGTGCATTAAAAACAAACTGTTCTTAGCTTCAAGAGGCTTTCTTTGTTCTACTTTTTAGCCATGAGAAATTAAATTTCCCCATCAAGTGTCACATGATTTTCTGATACCTCAGTTAAATATCCCGGAGACAGTTTTGTTTTGATTGTACATCTTTATGGTAGTTAACTAGAGAAAACAATTATATTAACCCTAAATCAATTCTGTATTATGACTAAATTGGAATCTCCCTCATGCTACAACCAACATTTTTAATGCCTAGCTCTTTCTTAAAAAGGAGAGTGAAACTTTTTTCCTTCTATACCTATTTAAACATAAGTCTATTTAAATAGATATACAATGCTTTAGTATTTATCAACCCTAAATATCTTATTAACATTGACTACTAACTAAAGAATGGTTTTAGAAAAATAGTCTAATTAAACTATTACTGAGACTTTTTTTCCTGGTTCTTACCTGAGAATGTGTGAAATGAGTACGCAGCATCTGTCCAATGTTTTGGGTATGAGAAAGATCCAAGGCTGCATCTACCTCATCAAGGATATAAATTGGAGCAGGTTTGAAGAGAAGCATGGACAGTATTAATGACAAGGCCACTAAAGACCTAAGAAAAGGTCAGAAGAAAAGCCATAAAAATTTGATTTTATCACTTATCAAAACACTGAAGCAAATATGTGATCCTATTATTGTGAATAGAGCAGATTTATCTGAAAGGTAGTCATATAAAAAAAAGAATCTTGAGTTTCAAACTTTAACACTTTTGTTGTATTAAAATATTATTTCTTTTATTTTAGCTTTCCATTTCTCCTCTTTTCGGAAGCATGCTATTTTCATAGACAATTTTAATATTGCCATATTACGTTTGGCACCTATTCTTAAGATCATGTTAGTTTTAAAATTTCTTTTTGTTTCCCTTCCCCAGTTGGCTCATTAGAGCCTAGGTAGCAGGTTAAGAGCTATGGTCATTATTTAAGACAATAACTATGATCTTGGTAACAGTAACTGAGTTAGATGTCATTTTTCAAACTTTCATAATGTAAACACTTACATAAACATGCATATACACACAGACAGACACACACACAATCTATATATTTTTTGGTACCATTTGTGAATAAGTTGTATAGACTATGGCCATTACTCTAAGTACATCACTGTCAAAAGTTCAAACAATCTTATGTAAAATTCATAGTTACACCTAATCTCAGGTTCCACAGCACTATTTTCAGTTCTCTTTTAGCTTACTGCAGCTCATTCTAATCTGGTATGAAGAATCATAATTATTATTATATTTTTTCTTTACAAATATATAATTCATAAAAAGCCTTATTTTAATATAAAATATGTATAATTACTTAACATTAGACTAAAAATTAGAGTAGCATTTGTAATATACTTATTCTGTAACTTCAAGTACATCCTGGCATACAGTACTAGAATAGGCAACTCAATGCTTGCTGCATTCTTTTTTGGTTTTTGAGAGTCTTGCTCTGTCACCCCGGATGAAGTGCAGTAGCACAATCTCGGTTCACTGCAACCTCTACCTCCCAGGTTCAAGCAATTCTACTGCCACAGCCTCCCTAGTAGCTGAGATTACAGGTGCATGCCACCACACCCAGCTAATTTTTGTAGTTTTAGTTGAGACAGGATTTCACCATGTTGGCCAGGCTGATCTTGAACTCGTGACCTCAAGTAGTGATCCACCTGCCTTGGCCTCCCAAACTGCTGGGATTACAGGCATGAGCCACCATACCTGGCCGAAGGCTTGCTGCATTCTAATAGGGCTATTTATTAAGAAATATGTAAGTAGGGAAAAAATGTGTGCACAAGTAGAGAAAAATTGCTAGCCAAAAAAAAAAAAAAAAAGAATAAAACAGTATCATCAAAACCAAATCACAGTGAGACTGTTAATCACCTCTATAAAAGGGAGCTAAACTCATTCAGCCAACCTAAAATTATGTTTCTTTGTCTTTCTCTGTGATGAGTGCCTCAAGTATTGAGTTTTAAAACTTAATCTTAAAAAAAAAATTCTGCTGTGCTGAAGGGTTTAACTACCATGTTGGATAGTGGTATATCTAAAAATAACTTTATAGCATCTTAATTATGGAAATAATTTATAGGTCCCAGTAAGAAGAGAAGCATACATTTTCTATTTTCCTCAAAACATTTTCTAGGGCTTCGGCAAATATAGCTAAAGATATTGGGAACTAAACTGTGGAATCCAATTTTTATGAACAGGCAGCAGGAGCTGTATTTTTGATTCTTATTTACAAATTTTATAAAAATATAAATAAAATATATTTCTACTCATAAAAATGATAAAGGGGGTCATAAGGAACATTAACAGGTGTCAATATTTTCTAAGTACATAAAAAAGGGTTACATGATGGAATTACAGGACAGAGAACAATAATTCAAGGCCTATGGATTATATACCATGCAGGAGAAAAAAACCAATTACTAAATGAATCACGAATTTCAATTATGTGAATGTTGACAACCTTCTTTCAGGAGGTTTTAATTAATTGGCTATTGGTAGGTAAGGTGTAAGGACATATGACCTTTTAGGTTTCTATCACTATGCTGATTTTCTGAATCACTGTGTAAGGTCAGGAGAAACTTCCCTGAACTCCAAATCCATGTTAGTTTCCAACACTCTTCTTTCCTTTATGTAGATCCAAGGTTCCATCTGGTATCATTTTCCTTTTGCCTGAGAACTTCCTTTAACCTGTAGTATGGTTCTGCTGTTTTTGTCTGAAAAGTATTCATATTGCCTTCAATTTGAAGAATATTTCTGTTAGATATACAATTCTAAGTTGACATATACTTTCAGCACTTTACGGATGTTCCAGACTTCTGGCTTACATAGTGTTTAACAAGAAGTCTAAAGTCATTTTTATTTTTGTTCACTAGCACATAATGTCTCTTTTCCTCTAGCTGCTTTTAGGATTCTTCTCCTATCACTGGTTTTCAGCAGTTTTATGTATCTTTTGCTTTGTTATTTTGTATGTGTTTCTGTTTATCCTGCCTGAGGTTGATAGAACTCAAGTCTGTGGGTTTACAGAATTCATCAAATCTGGAAAACATGGTGCCATGATTTCTTCAAGTATTCCTCTCTTTTTGGAACTCCAATTACTTGCCCATTAGACAGCTTCCCTTAGAACACTAAAGCTGGTTGTTTTTTCTTTCTCCAGTTTTTTATTTCTCAATGTAGCTTGAACAGATTCTGTTCTATTGCTATGTCTTCAAATTTACTGATTTTTCTTTTACAGTATCTCATCTCCTATTAATCTCATGCAGTAAACTTTTTTTTAATCTCTAGAAAGTTCACTTAATTCTTTTTAGTAGCTTCTATTTCTCTCATTATGTTCATGTTTTCTTGGATTAACTTGTCTCCTACTTGCATCATCTGTCATTTCAGAGTCTGTTTCTACTCACTAATTTTTCTCTTTAATTTTGATTACATGCTGGACATTGTGGTTATATTGTTTAGTATCTCAATTTTTTTTAACCTTCTTTAAAGAACACTGGCCTTTGTTCTGATAAACAAATAACAGTTTGGTTCCTTCAAAAAATTTGTTCAGTTTCTTAGGATGTGTCTACATTAGGCTTCACTTCAGGGACAGTAGAGACCTAATGCCAAGGTGCAGCACTCTAGGGCTTTGCAAAATTCTAATCTGTCTTTTTAACTTAGTGATACTACTGACCTCTGTTTAGGCAACTGAAGTCCAAAAACTGCCTCTAGAGAGAAAGCCAGGGTGAACATAGGGCTCAGCATTTCTGTTTCATCTTGTCCTGGACTATTCATTTTCTAATATTTGAAAATAGATTTTTTAAAAACATGTTTTGTCTAATTTTCTATTTGCTTATTCCTCCTTTGTCACCTATTTTAATCAAATGTTTTAACCAAATTGTTTAGTCTTATATATTAGACTCCTTAAATTCTACATGCAAAGGTAGTTAAAACACAAATACAGTTTTAAGGTAAGGAGATGAATTATAATAAAGAGGAATGAAAATTATAATATAGCAAAGTGATTCCTCACCTCTGACCACCACTAAGTTCAGTTAGGTTTTCTTTCCAGGTATTTCCCAAGGCAACCTTGAACTCCAGACCATCCAAAACAGTTTGACCCTCTGGTGGTGCAAGCATAGCATTAGCACCAGGCAAAAGAGTAGAAAAAATAGACCCAAAGTCCTTGTTCACCTGGATTTAAAAAATAAAAAAGTTAAAACATCAGGATGCTTTCCAAGAAGAATCAATTGTTGATATATGTATATGCAACACAGCAGGTCTACTTTGTCTATTACTCTAACTCAGGGGCTGACAAACTATGGCCCATGTGAAAAATCTGGATATGCTCATTCATTTACAAAGCGTCTATCGGTGCTAGTGATAAGACAAAATCAGGTAGTTGCAACAGAGACTGGATGGGCTCCCAAGCAAAAAATATTTACTATATGGCCCTTTACAAAAATGAATTACTGAATCCTGCTCTAATTTCCAGGGGAACTAGAAGGCACACCTCTAACTCTAGTCCAAAGTTTTGACACTTTTGTAGAACACACTGCAGGAATCCTCAAGATACACACAATTGTATCACATGAGGAAAAAAAACACAAAATAGAGAAGCAAACAAAAAAACACAAGTATTTTTGGAATAAAATGTTATCCTCTAAAACTTTTCTTTTTCCTGTTGTCCAAAGGCCTAAGTAGATCAATGTGAGGCCCAGGAGAAAAAGGGGCATGAAATCAAAGGACCAGATCTGTTAAAGCCTTCTTTTCTACATGCCTCATCTCCTAGCCGAAGAGGTTAAGCTGTTGAGGGCCAGAAACAGGATTACATCCCAAGAGAAAAGAAAGCTGTTTGGCCTGCCCCTGTCTTGCCATAGAAGGAGACAGAGATTTAGGGCCAAAATCCTAGCTTGTAATAGGGTAATTTTTGTTCATACGCACTTGATTGATGATTTGGGAATTTGGCCATCTGTCTTCAAAGACATGACTAATATTCTTAGTTCGGCAGTCAAACTTGAAAGCATAACACACATACACACAAAGGACTTGACAGCCAAGTTCTCTAGAGAAATCTCCAAATTCCAATGCAGGTATACAATATTCAAATGTAAATATACTTTTTAATGAATACTTATAGTAACAAGAAAATCTCATAGACACAAGCAGTGATCCTAAATATAGATTTACTAAGTAACACACATTTTAAAAGCAAGTACATGGCTGCTGAATAATATCCTACAGAGTGGAAGCAGGTTCTAGGCCAAGTGTGGGACAGGCAGCTCAGGACCAAGAGAGAGGAATGCTACTAAACTTGAACCAGAGACCCAGTGTGAAACTTCCTCCAAAAGAGAATGGACAGAGAAGAATACAGCCCTATGCTACACAGAAAATGAGTTATATTCATAGATCGATATAAAGATGAAATAAAAGAGAATTCTGCAAGTCCAATGAGGCTATGAAGAAAACAAACCAAAAACAAAAAAAGCCTAGAATACTCTGGCTTTGTCACTTTGTCAATCAAGTAAGCCTGAAGCCAGAAGGAAGAATATAATGCTGATAACAGTACCTACTTTGTTAGATTATTGTGAAGATTAGATGAGAAAATTAATTTGAGAATAGTGACTGGCATATAATAAGCACTGAATAAATGTTACTGGCTTTGGAAGAACCTTGGAAATTTGGGAAGAGCAGGATATGTTTAGACAATAGATTCTGATTTGTACTAAGTCCACGAATCCTGGTGGGAAAAAAGAAAAAAAAAAAAACCTCTCAGATCCAGTGTTAAATCGACATGCTGCACACTAATTAATAGGGTCAGCCTTTTGCTTCCATTTTTAAGAGAAAAATATTACAGGGAATGGAGCACTGAAAATAAGTCTTAGAGAAGAAAAAAACAAGGTGACTAAAAGGGATAATTGTGCTGCATTACTGAAGATAGAGTTCCTACAGAATTACAAAGAGAAAAAGAGGCAAGGTGCCCCATTAAAACCCAGAAGGCACAGGTTTGCTAAACTACCAAACAGCACAGTAACTCTATGTTTGGAATCTCTGAAGTAAGAATCTTCCGCTATAGTAAAAATGGAAAAACTTCCACATGAGAGGCTAAGGAATTATCCTATAGGAGACAGATACATGAAGTCAGGGAAGTAGAAGTAACAGTAAAGAAGCCTAAGATCTGCCAAAGTTGTCATAAAACAAAATGGAATTGGGATTTTGTTGAATAAGCATCCTGTAAAAGAGAATACTAAACTTGGCTTGTTTACTATCCAATTCTTACAGAAGTACAAGAATGCCAGGATCTGGTAGTAGTCAAGTTCAAAAAGAAAAAAATGCATTTAAAAGTCAGAGGTTTTAATTAAGGTGTGAATATGTGCCTCATTCAAACATAGATCAGCTATTTCAAATTTCTTATAGAGTATAACTCCACTGATGATATTTTTTCATCCTTGCAACCTCATATAAAACAAACATAAAAAGTACCTTTTGCCATGCAATATTTAGGGCTTGGTTTTTCTTCTGGTCAAGGTCTTCTATAGTTGTAAGAATTTTGGATTTGTCATTTTCTACAATTCTCTTCTTCTTCATCAAGTCATTGTACTATGAGATAAAAAACATGGTTAACTGGGAAAATATAAAATCTCTTCTATATTCTGGAATTTGGTCAGAAATAAACAGTTTTCATTATTTTTATATACAATACATACATTGCTATTTACCAAAAAGATATAATGCACTAAGAATTATATATACTCATATACTATACATATACTGTATGATGTGTGTGTATATACACACTCATATACACACTCTTAACAAAATTAGGAATAAAATCATCCATATGTATATAACTAAATTACTAGAACTAAGAATTTATAAGACAAAGTCCTTAAAATATTTTGACTCCACTAATATTCCCTTATCTCCTTAGCAGCCAAGGCAAAAAAAAAAAAAAAAAGTGTTACATATAAACTTAAGTAAAAGGAGCCCTGAAAGCTCTCCTCTTAAGGTCAGCCTTAGCAGTGACATGAACAAAATTTTGATCCTTCACCATGATATATAGGAACCACATAAATTGGACCTTACTTTTTTTTAATTTTAAGTTTTGGGATACATGTGCAGAATGTGCAGGTTTGTTACATAGGTATACATGTGCCATGATGGCTTGCTGCACCAATCAACCAGGTTTTAAGCCCTGTATGCATCAGGATAAAGGGAATTGGACCTTATTTATCCCTTGACTTTATGGCATTAAACTCCTCCCCAGGTTCTGGCCATATGGTCTTTTACAGCTCCTTTGAACATAATAAACTCACTATTGTCTTATGGCCCCTGCACTATTCTCCCTTCCTGGAATGCTCTTTCTCTGACATAACGGTTGCCTGAAATTTCAGCTCAAATATCACCACTTTAGAGTAGTCTTCCTTCAAGCAAGGCTGTAGAGGGATAATCATACCATGAACAGCAATGGGACTTCCTAAAACTCTTCCTAATTCATTTCTCCTCAAAGCCCTACATTTCAAGGAGGCTTCACATTCACCTTTAACAATTCTAGTCAGTCCTGCTGTTTTCCTTGCTGTCCCTCTTCTTTACAGCCACGCTCCCCTAACCTTCTCTCTACATTTTTATCTTATTTTTTCATGAAAATCCATGTAATTGCTTATGTAGATAGATACAAAACACAAGAAAAAAAAAGGCCATCTGCTGATCAACAATATAGGCTTCTCCTCTGGTAAAGAGATGGGAGTTGATAAATTCTTTTGAAAAAAATATTAGACTCAGGTCTCATCTAATAGAAGTAAACGAGTAAAAGTGAACAAGTTTCATGTTATGCAGATCAAATTCAGACCAAAGTTTTCCTTCTACAAATATATCACATATTGCAAAGCTTTAATGTAGAAATGAAAACCAGCAGGAGCATTTTCTAGAGAGATCACAATACCTGCATGATTCATCTGTTTGGTATCTAATATAATATAGACTCTTTGTGCATATTCATGCCAAAAACAGTTAAAAAAAATTATGGTAAAATTTCTTCAAAGTAACTGTGCTATTATCAGTGTCGCAGATTTCTCATGAATTTTACTCTGATTTGCAAATTCAAACAGAATTTTCCAGCATTCAGGAAGGTATGGGGCATTAATAGGGGCATTAATATAAAATTACTAAGATAGCCATTTCTTATGGCTATCTTAAGAGTAGGGAATGCTTCCCCCACTGGGTTTTTCTAGTGATAGGTCCTCCCAAGTTCATCACTAGATGACAGTAAACTCCCTTCCCAGACTCAAAGTTTTGTCAGGTTAGGGAAGAATAACATTATTGAGTAATTGAGAGCATTAAAACTGAGAAGAGGCTGCAGAATTTACAGATCAGTGAAACAGTATTTATGTGTATAATGGCTTTAGTCATTACTTATATAGTTTCAGTATACAGTAGAGTCAAGAGGATGACAGAAGTATATCCTATTCAAGGCTTTTCAATGCAAGTGAAAGAAATGAAATGATAGAAATGTGAGGAATTATGTTTGACAAAGAACAAAAGCCAGTGAAAAAGTCATTCCAGGTGTAATAGAATGTAAAAACAACTAATGATGCATAAGAGTAATAAGAAAAAAATGACGAAAAGAGAAAAAGGAAAGCAGAAAGAAAAGTATCAAGGACATCTGCAAAAGGTTAACTCTAATAATTGCATCAGAGGTCATACAGAGCTGTCAATGCTAGTCATGTTCTAATGCGGCCAGATATTCATAAGAAATTGACTTACTCGCTCTTCAGCTTCTGTCAATACATTCATAGCTCTCATATTGACATTTCTTCCTAGTTTCTCCTTCATTTCTTGCAACTTCTGAAGTCTCTGACCAGCTTCTTTAGGGTTGTTAGTTTTGAAATCATAGGCACTATTGGGTTGGCCAAAGAGGTGTCTCTCTGCATTAATCCAGTCATAATCTTTCAACATTTTGGATACCT